>NC_000011.10:35211515-35363030 GCF_000001405.40 Homo sapiens
CAGAGGACATTTTCTGTGTAGTCTGGGATTGGACTAGTTTGTGATATGGAAATATCTTTCATTATTGGTTATCAATTCTAGTGCAAATAAACTTGGGTATATTTTAGATAAAAGAATGCTTCCTTTTGCCAGTGTTTTTTCCATTTGTCTGTGTTTGCATGTGTGTGTGTGTGTGTGTGTGTGTGTGTGTTGTGTGTACAAGTTGGCTGTTATGATGGAATTGCTTTCTTTGTCTTATCTTGTGATATATGAAGTTGAACCACATGAAACTGATATTTTTGCAGGTGAAAGTAGTCGAATTTTAGCAATTCCGTTTAATTCGACTAATATACTCTACTTATTTTGTAAGGTTTTATCCTACAGGTGAATAATTTCTATATACTAGTATCTTTGCTCTGAAATTATTATCTTGTTTTGGTAATAGATTGATCAGTTTTACTTTTGGTGATGGATAAACCTCTTCTAGTTCTGATGCACACTTAAAATGTTCATGATTTAATCTAGTATTAATGAATAGGGACCACTTCTCTTATTGTAATAGTGAAGAGAGGAACGAAGATAATTTATTCAATGAAGTTTGACACGGACCTAGAATAAGTCTTTTTTTTTCTCAAATAAGTAGTCATCTCTGCTTCTGCTTTTCTTTGCTTCTCCATTTGTATTAAGAAATTAACAGTGAAGAAAGGGGAAATGGAAAACGCCCACTGTAGTGAAGAAATAAAAAACAGATTCTGTCTTCCTAGTACTAGTTTTTCAATTGCTTTGTAACACAATCACTAGGCATATTCAAGATTAGAGACTTTAGATACATAATTTTGGAGCAGAGATCTTCTCTCCTCCCCCCAAAAAAGAAAAAGAAGAATTCATATGTGTGCATATATATATAATTTTTTTTTTTGAGACGGAGTTTCACTCTTGTTGCCCAGGCTGGAGTCCAATGGTGCGATCTTGGCTCACCTCAACCTCCGCCTCCTGAGTTCAAGCAATTCTCCTGCCTCAGCCTCCATGAGAATCCAATATGTAAAACAGATGACGGTTGTGATGCAGGGACAGAAAATTCAGAATGCCACATGCTTGGCCTCATTTCTCTGGGTGGCCTACCCAAGAGCTTCAAGAAAAACAGTTTAAGAAAATGCTAACTTCAGCAATATTGGCAAGACAAAGCCCCTTACACTCCTTAGTTCTTTATTCAGCATTGTTCTGCTCTCATTTATTAAAAATTCCAAGTACCATTGTCAGTATTCTTCAGAAAATCTTATAGTGCTGTCTCATTTCTCTTGGCAAAAGAAAGCCTGTTGTGCAACCCAATGAATTTAATTTTTTTTTTTTAAAGAGTCTTGCCCTGTCACCCACACTGTAGTACAGTGGCGCGATCTCGGCTCACTGCAACCTCTGCCTCCCGGGTTCAAGCGATTCTCTTGCCTCAGCCTCCTGAGTAGCTGGGATTACAGATGTGTGCCACCACGCCCGGCTAATTTTTTTATTTTTAGTAGAAATGGGGTTTCACCATGTTGGCCAGGCTGGTCTCGAACTCCTGACCTCAAGTGATCCACCAGCCTCAGCCTCCCAAAGTGCTAGGATTACAGACGTGAGCCACCACGCCCAGCCATGAATTTAAAGTTTAAATGGCAATTTTAATAGTCACAGTACCCTAGAATGCTTATAGCCTAATGTTAGTAAATCAAATGCTTTTTACAAGACTGATATTCACAGACACTGATTCTTTCTGATTTCCACAGTGGTACGGACAGATTTTCCATAATTCTCCATGGATTAGACAATTAAGTCACCCAATTCTCATCCTTGGTTTTCTTCAAAAACACTCACCCACATAAATCTCATTTATGTCTATACATTTTTCTCAGTCTTTACGCTTAATGTTAAGAACTAAAGCATTTGTTGAAGCAAGCGGATCACTTGAGGTCAGGAGTCTGAGACCAGCCTGGCCAACATGGCGAAACCTCGTCTCTACTAAAAATACAAAATATTAGCCAGGCATGGTGGCAGGTGCCTGTAGTCTCACCTACTCAGGAGACTAAGGCATGAAAATCACTTGAACCCAGGAATTGGAGGTTGCAGTGAGCCGAGATCGTGCCACTGCACTCCAGCCTGGGCGACAGAACGAGGCTCCGTCCCCCAAAAAAGAACTGAAGCATTTAGAATCATAGTGGCAGTGGTGGTGGTGGTGATGGTGATGGTGATGGTGATAATGATGGTGATGGGATGGTGACGGTCATGGTGATTTTGGTAGTGGGAGTATTGGTGTGGCATTTCAGCAAATGTTGTTTTCATTTGTTTTAACCATCAGCCAAGGAACAAAGCAATCTGTCTCTTCAATATAGTTACACAGGTGACTAAGTGTCACCCGCTTCCACCTTCTCTAATCAAGGAAATGGTGACGATCAGGTTACTATAGATTCCTTATAAGGTGCCTTCATAATGGATAACTGTAGCCATTTTATGTAAGCATTGTCCTGTGATTAAAAAAAAAAAAAGATTCCAGTATGCTTTTGAAAAATGTGGGTGGGGGAGAGAGTTTTAATATGCTGCATTCAAGATTTGACCTATGGATTTAGATTCTAGCAATTCATGAGGTTGTCTTAATCTAAAGCTTTCTGGTGATAGATGTTTGAGAAGCTAGGATTATATTAACTAGTCATGTTGAAACTACAGATTTAACTTTAAAAAATTATTTTAAACTTACTATAATACCCATATTCCAATACACATTATTAATGTTAGCTATCATCTCACCATTTCCTTTTTTACTTATTTTCAATTTTTTTTGAAAATAAGTAGTTGACCTTTCTCTTTGAATCTTTACATCATTCAATCCCAAGATTCCTTATTGCATACTAATTTCCTGCCGCCAAGAAATCTCTGTTTCATGCCCTAAGCCAGAGTATGCCCATTTGCAGTGATTATGTTTCTCATAATCCAATTCATATTGTCCTTATTTAAAATGTACAATGTCTAGTCTCAACCTCATACCTGCAAAGATATCACAATATTTTTGTTAGCATGTTCCTTACCACAGTTCTTGGATTTCTACCAAAACAAAGTTTCTACAAAACTTCCTGTGGTCATCCTTCTTAGCCTTTGCTGCCCCAGTTTCCTTAATTCTTATTAAAGTTCTAGCTCATTTATCAGTGGATTAAGCAATGAACGGTAATTAACATTGTGGACCCATTCAAGGCTGTTTTGCCATCATTTTTTGGAATACCTTAAAAAGACTAAACTTTGTGATAGGCTGTATAAGAATGCAAAGGTAAAGAAATGCAGATGGGAGTGTAAGTGAAAACATGCAGTACTGACCTTCCTGATTGCTCATTACAGGAGACCAAGACACATTCCACCCCAGTGGGGGGTCCCATACCACTCATGGATCTGAATCAGATGGTGAGTTCAAAACTGCTTTAGTCATTTACTGTTATAATCATTGAGCCTAATGATGACTACCAACGAAGTATGAGTCAGTGTCTCCAGAGAAGTGGTTCTCAAACCTTCTTAGCATACATCACAATTGCAGGGAGGGCTTATTAAACCACAATGCTGGACCCCACCCTTAAGGTTCCTGATTCAGTAGGTCTGGGGTGGAGCCCAAGCATTTGCATTTCTAATCAGTTCCCTGGTAATACTGACACTGCTGGGACAGGGATTGCACTTTGAGAGCTACTGCTCTGGAGGAAAGCCTTGCATCTGAAAGCCTCAGGAAGAATTCAAGCAGTGTCCCAATTTAACCTTGCACTACACCAGAGTGATTAAGAGCTTGAGCTTTGTAGCAAAAATGGCCTGAGTTCGATTCCAGCCCTCCGCATATTAACTGAGCAAGATGCTTTAAAGGGTCTGAGACAACATTTCTCAACTAATAAACTTGGAATAATAACAATTGTCACAGGACATTGTTTCAAAGACTAAATGATAGAATACATGTAAAGCATTTAGCATAATCCTGGCACATGATATCATCACTGGTATTTGTTGGGAATTTACTGTGTGCCAGCAGCATCTTTCTAAACACTTTACATGTATTAGGTTGGGCCAAATGGAACTGCCATTATTGTAGGTCAAGAACAGGTCAATATCGGCCAGGCACGGTGGCTCACACCTGTAATCCCAGCACTTTAGGAGGCCGAGGCAGGTGGATCACGAGGTCAGGAGTTCGAGACCAGCCTGGCCAACCCTGTCTCTACTAAAAATACAAAAATTAGCCGGGCGTGGTCCTGCGCACCTGTAATCCCAGCTACTCAGGAGGCTGAGGCAGGAGAATTGCTCGGACCTGGCAGGCAGAGTTTGCAGTGAGCCAAGATTGCACCACTGCACTCCAGCCTGGGTGACAGAGCAAGACTCTGTCTCAAAAAAAACCAAAAAACAAAAAACAAAAAAACAGGTTAATATCAGCAAATTCATAGAGTTTATCTAGTATGAACTCATTCAGTCATCCTATAAACTCTGTGACATAGGTAAGTACTATTATTATCCCCATGTTACAGATGAGGAAACTAAGGCTCAGAGAAGGTAAGTAACTTGGCAGAGTTGACAGGACCAGAGAGTGATGGAGCCACCTTTCAAGCCTGGAGGGCCTTGTATTACTTCTCATAGCACAGTCTGGAGAAGGCATTCCATAATGACCATAATTACTCCCAGGCATGAATTCTTAAATAGACTCCTGTTTGTTGTGATTCAGATCACACCCCTACAAACCTTACCCCAGACTGCAAAAGTCTGACATGAGGTAGGTTTACTAATTACTTCTACTGCTGGGCTACTGGGAGGTTCTGCCAGTGCTGCCTTACTGTGGTCTCCCTGAACATCATAAATCCAGGTGACCCCATGTAAATGATTTAAGCCATATCAATTATTGTCTCCCCTTTTTATGCCCAAGTTTGAGTGAGGCTCACCATCAGATTTAAATGTTTACACATTGAAAACAAATATGAAGATGGATATTTACATGGTGGCTTCCACAATAACTCTCTATGGAGGAGCACTAGGAGGTAGGGATTCATTAGAAATGCTTCTGAAATAGAGACAGAAGTCACAGGTTCACTGGGGACTTTAGGCAGGGCACTTAACCTTTCCCAGACTCAGTTTCCTTGTTAGTAAAAAGGAGATCAAATCATCTGCCTCAGTTGCTTCCTAGAGTTATTGTGAGGAAGACAGGGTACCAGAAGTGTGAAAGTACTCTGAAAAAGTAGGGAGTTATTATTAAGGGGCATGATCTCTAAAACCAAGAGACCCCAGCCACTCTCTAAGTATGATTCTTTAACCATCAGAGTGGACATCACCTAGGAACTTGTTGGAAATGCAGAATCCTTGGCCAACCCAGACCTACTGAATCAGGATCTGCATTTTAACTACACTCTCCCACCCAGGTGGTTTATATGCACATTAAAATTTGGAAGCTTAGACTGTGCTAGACTGCTTTTCTCACCATTGAAGCCAATTGAACAATCTCTGTGCATATGTCTCAGATTACATGTCATCTCCCAACAGGAATATCAAGTGCTCCTCTTTGTGGAACTTGCTACTGTGGCCAGTCCTACCCTGGCTGGATTTGTAGACATCTAGGGCACAAGGCAAGACCTGCTATCTCACATCCATCTTCTGTGGCTTTTGCTTGAAGTGAGAATCAAGCAGACAGGAGCCAGTCTCTTTTGTTTGGCTTCTGAGCAGGTGTCTATTGTTCAAACAGGAGGTTTCATCTTGCTGCACGCACACCCAGATCTTTTCTTGCTGGGAGCACTTCTTCTTTTTTTTTTTTTTTAAATCAAAATAAAGTGATTATGATCCGTTAATGGCCTCTTTTTAAATATCAAAGGCTTCTATGAGTCAGAAAAGAAAAAAAAAAAAAAGAACAGTGAGAGTGACTGTACCTCCTGGGGAGTTTTCACGGCCAAAGATCTTCAGTTTAGGTGGCCAGTGTCCCATGAGTTGGGCAGGTGAAAACCTGCCAACCACCAAGGACACTGGAAGGCATGTAGGGAAAGGGCCTTGGACTGTTTTGGAGATTTGTAAAGTCAAAGGCCACTGTCAACATAGGATAGGGGATGTTGAAACACCCAGATGTCTGGTAGGAACTGGTTTTGCTCCCTTTTAAGTTTTAACAAAAGCATCAAATTGCATAAACAAGAGCCATCCTGTCCCCATATAACCATTGTAATCAAGATTTCAGTGTGCACAGCCTAAAGTTTGGCTCCATGAGGAAAGCTCTCATTTAAGACCCCACCATTTTCATCCATTGATCAGCCTTCAGGATTCTACAGTGGGCTTCCATTTGGTAGGAAAAAAAAAGTTCATTTTGGTGGAACACTTTCAAATTTTGTTTTGAAGCAATGGAGGAAGAATTTTTAAAAATTCATGAAGCTTTCATTTTGATGAGGCTCTTCACAAGATGTCTTAGAAGTTTCTTTTTTAAAAAAATTGTTTATTTATTTATTATTTTTATTTTTAACAGGGACAGGATCTCCCTATGTTTCCCAGGCTGGTCTCAAAGTCCTGGACTCAAGAGATCCTCCTGTCTCAGCCTCCCAAAGTGCTGGGATTACAGGTGTGAGCCACCATGCCCGGCTTCTTAGAAGTTTCTTTTAGAACCATTGTGTCTCCCTCATTTCGATAGGCCTCCAGTTCTGACTTGAGGATTGTCTGTCTTGCGATACTTCCTCCCAGTTTAAGGCATTTTGTTCATCTCCTTATTTTGCTTTTTAGCAGTAGAAAATGTTGATTCTTCTAACAAGGTGTGTTTCAGTAATATATTAGCAGGGACTCTAATAGGGTGATTTTTCATAGTCAGAAAGGGCCACTGCCGCTAAACTCCTTATTTATTTATTGTGAGGTGGAGTCTCGCTCTGTTGCCAAGCTGTAATGCAGAGGCACAATCTCAGCTCACTGCAACCTCTGCTTCCTGGGTTCAAGCAATTCTCCTGCCTCAGCCTCCCGAGTAGCTGGGACTACAGGCACATGCCACTATGCCTGGCTAATTTTTGTATTTTTAGTAGAGACGGGGTTTCACCATGTTGACTAGGTTGATCTCAATCTCTTGACCTTGTGATCCGCCTGCTTCAGCCTCCCAAAGTACTGGGATTACAGGCGTGAGCAAACTCCTTATTTTATAGTGTTTATGTTGGCTCCTATGATGCTATTGGATGAGATTTTCAGGTTCCCTTTGGGCTTTCTGGAGCGTGTGAGTCCCCTGGGGGTCTTGTTAAAATGAAGATTCTGATTTGGTAGCTTTGAGATGAGGCATAAGATTCTGCATTTCTAGCGATCTCCCCAGGTATGCCTGTCCTGATGGTCTGAGAGCCACACTTTGAGTAGCAAGGTCCTAAATTAAAAATAGAAAATAACAACCACACACAACTACCAATACCGTGTATTTCTTCAAATCTCTGCAAAATTATGATGAACAGCATTCTGTTATCCCCATCTTACGAGTGTGAAAAGGGAGACTTGGAGAAGGTAGATTGACCCAGCACACATGGCTAGTTAGCAAGGGACAGCGGTGAGACTTAAATCCAGGGTTGTCCAGCTCTAGACACCAAAGTCCTGAACACTGTGCAACACTGCTGCTGAGAATTCTCATGTTCCTTGACACAAAATAACATTACTAAGCCTTAGCCTTAATCAAATGAGGTGGGGGGGAAATCTTTTGTGTAATGCTTTATAAACATCTGCAGCTTGAATCCATAAATGGCTTCTCAGTGATTCAGAATGTGGAGAGCTGCCCTTTATGCAGCTCCACAAGGAACTCATGGTTACACATTTCAAACTTTGGTTGAGAGATGTTGTTTTTCCCCTTAGGACACTCACATGGGAGTCAAGAAGGTGGAGCAAACACAACCTCTGGTCCTATAAGGACACCCCAAATTCCAGGTGAGTTTCAAACTTTGAGGCAGAAAAACACACTGAAAGCAGCTTTCTCAGAATGTCCCAGCAAGGACGAAGAGACTCATTTGAAAGCACATTCTCCACAATGCCCAACATATGAATCCAATTGCTCCTCTTTACAAGTTAAAGGATGAATGAGAATACTACACCCTCTTGGTAGGAAAAGATGGAATAGTCTTTTCTTCCTGGGTTCTGCAAACTAGCTGAGCTCATACTCAGATCTGTCCCTGGCCTGTCCCAGAGAAGTGCCATGTTAGTTACTAAAGCTTCCTTCCTAAATGAATGATCACCAAGAGGACCCCATGTCATACCTAGGTCCTTTCTATCCCAATCCAATTTCCACTTATTTCTGGGGTCCAAGGTGAAGCATGTAATTTTCCTTTTACGATTACAGACAGGGAGGAGCTACAAGAGGCATTTATGTTAGATGGAGTGAAAACTTTCTTTTGGTTCCCCAACTAATTTTTTTTTGGTCGAGGGACCGCCTGCTGATGTGGACAGAATAAACTTTTCAGAAAGTATGCATGTGCAGTGAGGAGGCTGGGACACCTGGTTCTCCTGAGCATCAAGACAAGGCATTTGTTGCAAATTCTTTATTTGACTTGGAATTAAAATTGATTTGTCATAGAGAATTACTAAAGGGAAGGGTTCTCCTAAGGTTGTAAATTACCCTTTTAATTCTCTCCTCTTCAGAGGTCTCCAGACTGAGCCTCTCTTGGGGAAAGAGAAGAATGTGGCATGCACCGTTCTCCTTTGCCCCAGCTTGCCTAAGCACACCTGAAGACAGACCAGACAGAGACAGGGGTGGGCTGTCCCAAGGGAGAGCACAGGGGAAGCCTTAGCTGTCATCAGGCAGCAAGATTCTTCCCAGCTCCAGTGACAGTGCAGGTGGGATATCTCAGGGCTGGAAACCAGGGCCACAGTGGGCAGGAGTAGAAAGGAAGAACAGAAATCGGGCCCTCCTGTCAGTCTCCCCCACTTCTGACTCTACCTCCCTCTCCAAACTCATCTAAACCAGGAAAAGGTGAGGCAAAGGTAGTGCTGAGCAGGAAATCAGAGATAAACCAAAATTTCCAAGAAGAAAACAGATAATGAGACTTTCCATGCCTCTTCTTTCTCAAGCCCTGGTTCATTGCACACATATACAACCCACTTTGCAACTGAATTTAGTGGAGTTGTCAAGTCATATTTTAGTCCTAAAAGAGCCTGATTTCAAAATGTGTAGAATATTAATCCACAAGTGATATATAATTATTGAAAACATTTGAAAAAATACAACTAAATAAAATAATGGAAATATAAATCAATTATTATCAATCTCACCATCCAGAAATACCATGGTTACCATTTTAATATACGTCTTTTTTTTTTTTTTTTTTTTTGAGATGGAGTTTTGCTTTGTTGCCCAGGCTGGAGTGCAGTGGCGCGACCTCGGCCCACTGCAACCTCTGCTTCCTGAGTTCAAGCGATTCTCCTGCCTCAGCCTCCTGAGTAGCTGAGATTACAGCATGCCACCATGCCCAGCTAATTTTTGTAGTTTTAGAGATGGGGTTTCACCATGTTGGTCAGGCTGGTCTCAAACTCCTGACCTCGTGATTCACCCACTTCAGCCTCCTAAAGTGCTGGGATTACAGGCGTGAGCCACCGCACCCGGCCTTTCCTGTCATTTTAAAATGTAAAATATATACCAAAATGTGATTACACCTTACACGGTGTTTAGCAAACATTGCCTACTGGTTAACCATGGCTTCCATGTCATTGAATATTTCCTCCTCATATTGTAGTGCGTAATGCAATAGATGTACCCTAATTTATTTAACCAATCCTTTATTGCCTCCATTTTTGTTTTTTAATACAATGTAAGGTGGATAGGTGGATGCTCTTATACAGGAAAAAAATGTTCCTTTCAAAAGAAGCCTACATTTCCTTTTATATGTTTAATAATATTATACCAAAGGCATCTACAAGATTCAACAAGTCATCCTGTCCTTTTTTAGAAACATAGTTCTCCTGAAGGGACTTGAAAATCCTGACTGATGATAAAAGATTAAAGCAAGAAGGCTGTTGGACAAATACCTTCAGCAAATTGCTCTTCCAGAATTACCTGCCTATTGGCTGGACCTATTGGCCAGACCCCCCTGCAGCGCTGACTGTGGTGCTTGTTTCAACTAGGTCAATTATAAAGTGCATTTTTGTTTTTACAAAGTGTGTCTCTGAAGCTCACGCATGTCATTTAATTTACTCATACCAGAATGGCTGATCATCTTGGCATCCCTCTTGGCCTTGGCTTTGATTCTTGCAGTTTGCATTGCAGTCAACAGTCGAAGAAGGTAAGGGGCTGTCCTGGGGGCTTTCAACTTGGAAAGGGCATCATTTAAACCTGGGCTTTATATCCTTGCTGCTCAGAGCGTAGTCCCTGGAACCAGCAGCCTGGGTACCCTGGGAGTTTGTTGGAAATGCACAATCTCAGACCCAACCCCAGACCTCCTATGGCAGAGTCTGCATCTTAACAAGTTTCCAGGGATTCATGTGCATGGTGCAGCTTAAGACATCTTTCTCTGCCCCGGTTTTTAGAGACAGGAGACACCTGTGATTGTTTGGCTCATCACTTTTAGGTAGTGGTTGAATCCTTTGTGATTTTACATGTTTTTTAGGGTTAAACCTCATGCAGACTCTGTCTGATGAAAGTTATGAAGTATCTCACCAGGAAGGCACACAAAAGTATATACTCATTCATTGATTTGTTAAATATTTATTAAATACATTCACAATGCACAAATATCGTATAAAGATTCAGTGATTCATCATCCCCTGTAGCCTCTCTGAGGCCCAGGGAACCTTTAAGAACTTTTACCAGAAGGAAGTATTGGCCTTGTGCTTTTGTTTGTCGTTTGTTTTTTTATTGGCCTTGTGCTTTTGTTTGTTGTTTGGTTTTTGTAATGATATCATTTTCTATTTTCTGGGAACTGTAGTTGAAGAGATTCAGGTTATAGCATAAGAAGAGCACTGTTTCATCGTCTTCTTGCTGTTAGGAGGTCTATGAAGCAGAGAAGAACTTTCCTTTGGAAAACAACTAAATGAAGACAGTCACCTCGCTAGAACTGACACATGGGCTGTTTTTATATTCTTGAAGGCCACTCTCTCCCTACCTGAACCAAGACCTATAGGTTTACATGTTATTTACATTTTATATATAATATATATATATATATATACACATACATTATATATACACAATAGTAATTCTAGCAACAGAGGAAATGACCTTTAACAGGGGTATAAATCTAAATTTATAAAAGTATAAATCTAAATTTCTTACCCAAGACACTTTAAAGATACATTATTTTTCTCCAGGACGTAATTCATAGGAATATTAAGCCTTTTGTAAATGTCCCTTTAGATGGTTTCTCATAAGGTAAAAGAAACTTATTTCCAAGCAGGACCACCTTTATTGTGTCCCCAGATCACCTCACAGGGCAGAAAAATGCCCCTCAGTCTGGGAGAAGACCTAGAGAGAATTATGGACTCCTTACTGGTTTTTGGAAAGCAACCAACAGCTAATTCCAACACCATGGGCAGCCCATACAGTCTCTAATTATCTGAGAAAATCAAATGATGCTGTTACAATAATTACGCTGGTACAAGTTAATAAAAGTGCCATGTTACAGTCAAACAGCTATGTTGCTATCTATACCATTGAGGGCATAGTTTTAAAAAGTAGTTATGCTACCTGATTGTATAAGGAACAAAACTGAGAGAAAAAATCTAAAAGGCCGCCTATGATTGAATGGAAAGATTTTTTTTAGTTGAATTTAAATAATGTGACTTGGGGGAGCCTTTACAAAGAGTCTTTATACCTCCCTTCAGCTTCCTCATTTTCCCTTGGATTACTTTTGCTCAATTAAATATGAATTTCCTATTGTGTGCAATCAGCCCTTTATTGCCAAGCCCTAGAATGCACCACTTTTGCTCACATACACAGTCCATAAGCTTTGCACATGTCACCATAGAAACGCTGGCATGGATGCTGTCGACATTTAGGGAGACCTCGGAGAAGCATCTCAGCTGTCCCTAAGAGCAGCTGGAGTCCATACATTGGGGCTGGGTATCTCCCCCATCGTCTGTGTCTTGTCAGCAGCAGACAGCAGAGAAGGGGCCTCATTGCTGCCCTCTCCCTCCTCCCAAGACCAGCAGTCACCCTGGCAACCGGCAAACAGGGACACACAGGGTCCGGCACAGCGAGTATCTCACCAGGAAAGTAGCTGCTTGGATGCCATAAATTACTATGTCCTGATTTGATAATTGAAAACAGATTTGCCACGCAGCTAAAAGGTGGTGAACAGCTGTACGGGCCCCTTAATGGGCTCTGTGATTCTAAAGCTGTCAACCCATTTCTAATCCCCTTCAAAGGCTGAGGCTTTTCTGCTTTGAGTGTCACATTTAAGAGAAAGAGATACAGAATCCTATTTTCATCAGAGAAAGTTTGGTTGAAAATGGGGCCTCCAATAGGTGTTCATTTATTCAGCAAACATCTTTTGAGTGGCTCCTGTGACTACCAGCCCTGGCAAGGAGAAAGAGAAGGTAAAAAACAAAAAGAGTACCACCCCTTTTCTAAAAGAATCTTGAGGTTTAGTGGCAGTATTGGCCTCTTGAATTTGAATTGGCTAATATTTATTGAGAACATTCCCTGTGCCAGACACTGTTATATAAATTATGGTTAAAAGACAAAAGTGGAAAATCATTAGTCTCTGAAGTTGACATACAAGGATGGGTCATGGGCTTGCATGATGAAGTGATCTGTGAGTCACGTTGTCTTAAAGATGCTGGGTTGGGGGTTCTATTACTTCTTTAGGTTTTTCCACCCCTGCCATCATCCAAAACAGCTTTCTTTGCTGTTCCTCATGTCACCTGACTCCTTGAGTTACAGCTCTCCAAGAGAAATCATATTTTATTCCCTTTTCATGAGAGCACATAATTATTTTAGGAGTCAGTTGGGTTGATAGATACTGCGTGAGGCTCCAGAGAAGATTTTCCTTTAAAGAATCTATCTGGGCCAGGTGCAGTGGCTCACTCCATGTGCAGTGGCTCACTTTGGGAGGCCGAGGCAGTGGATTAGTTGAGCCTAGGAGTTCAAGACCAGCCTGGGCAACATGGCGAAACCCCATCTCTACAAAAAACACAAAAATTAGCCGGGCATAGTGGCGCATGCCTGTGGTCTCAGCTGCTCGGGAGGTTGAGGTAGAAGAATCGCTTGAGCCCCGGGAGGTGGAGGCAGCAGTGAGCCATGATAGTGCCACTACAGCCTGGGCAACAGAGTGAGACCCTGTCTCAAACAAACAAGCAAACAAACAAACAAACAAAAACCTATCTTATTTGTCTAAAGAGGAGAAAAAAACATGAGAACTTTACTATGTTGCTTGTACATAAAAGCTGTTCATCAGCCTTCACTTTAATGGGAATAATCGTCTTTTCTATAAACCCCAGCAGGCAGTCACCCACACTCCAATCAGTAGGTCTTCTCTACGCATCGCCATAATTTAGAAATATTTTCCTTCTCTTATGCTACAGTCTAGCTCCTGCAATCTGAGCTCACCCAACCTCGTCCTGCTGTCTAGAACAGTGCTATGCAATAGAACTTTCTGTGATGATGGAAATATTCTATACCTCCACTGTCCAATATATAACTACTAGCCACAACTGAGCACTTGAACTATGGCTAGTTCAACTGAGGAAGTGAATTTTTAATTTCATTTCATTGTAATTAGTTTAAATTCAAATAGCCAAATGTGGCTGGTGGCTACCATATTGGATGGCACAGCTCTAAAACAGTGCAAAATAAATCCCTAAATATCGTTAAGGATTGTCAGGTAGAAGAGTCATGAGATCAGTTGCCAAGTTACCCACCTAAATCTTTTAAGATAAATTCTGCCATGCCATAAAAGTATGTTACCTGGCTTCTAAACCCCAGCCAGCCTGCCCTCTCTTTCCTGGTGAGGTCTCAGTCTGCCTCCTTCCACACTGTGTGATTGCTGTGTGCTCAGCTAATGCCTGAGATTTAAGGGAAGAGGAGATAAAGGTAAGACACAGATCCATGAGGATCTCTGATCTTCAGAGTCAGAAGATCCAAGCTGTGGCTGGGCGCGGGGGCTCACACCTGTAATCCCAGCACTTTGGGAGGCTGAGGCAGGCAGATCATTTGAGGTCAGGAGTTTGAGACCAGCGTGGCCAACATGGAGAAACCCTACCTCTACTAAAAACACAAAAATTAGCCAGGTGTGGTGGCGGGTGCCTGTAATCCCAGCTACTTGGGTGGCTGAGGCAGGAGAATTTCTTGAACCCAGGAGGCAGAGGTTGCAGTGAGCCGAGATAGTGCCATTGCACCCCAGCCTGGTTGATGAAGTGAGACTTTGTAAAAAACAAAACAAAACAAACAAACAAACAAACAAACAAAAACAGAAAATCCAAGCTGTGATTCTTGCAGTGCAGTGCCATAACAAGCTGTGAAACTTTGGACAATACTTCTTGGACTTGGTGTCCAGTTTACATAATGAAGAAGCTGGGCTAGATGATCTCTGAAGCCCCTTAAGGTCTAGTGCTCCTTCTTAAATTCTTATAACTAGGAATAACTTAAAAATTAGAATTTGTCTCTTAAAAGCACTTATTAGACGCCTAGAGCACTGAATATTGGAATGAGTTATTTATGAGAATCATCCTACCCTCCTGAAACTACTCAGACAGATAGAAACACATAAATCCAAAGGGAAATGCAGGCCAACCAAAAACCAAGCACAATATTCCTGTGTCCTATAGGTCAAATGTTATCCACTGTCAAGATCAGCTTCGTTTAGATTAACAACATTAATCCCCACCCACTCCCATGCACAGACATATTTTTTATGCTCATAAATCACTTTCCCACAATATTTCATTCCATCCCTCAACCACCCATTGGTTAGGGAAATGGGAATTACTTTAACTAGACAACTTTCCTCCAAAGAACACAGGGGCCAGGGAATTGGAAGTAACACAAGCAGTATTCTACCTTGAGCCTTTTAAATCCTCTTCATAGTAAATAATAACGAGGTAGGTGGAGGCAGCCAGGAGAAACAAGCAAAATTCATTTCATATGGCTTTTGTTATATTAACAATTATAGATAGCACTTGAAAGCTTACTGTGCTCCAGATACTGTTCTAAGTGTTAACCCAAACCTTAGTTTCCTTACCCCGCATAAGAGCAAGAATAACAATTATTTCCTTACCCCTCATAAGAGCAAGAATAATAACAATAGACTCATTTATTTAGTGACAGTCTCTGTTTCAAGGGCTTTTCACAATCCTATGATATTGCTACTCTTAGTAACCTGGTATTATTGATGCAAAACTGAGGCTCAGAGAGGTTAAGTGAGTTGCCCCAGGTCACATAGCAGTAAGTTCTCAAAACCAGGCCTTCCGAGCCCCTTTTCTTCTTTCTTTTTTCCTTTTTTTTTTTTTTTTTTTTTTGAGACGGAGTCTTACTGTGTCACCCAGGCTGGAGTGCGGTGATGCAATCTCAGCTTACTGCAACCTCCACCTCCCAGGTTCAAGCAATTCTCCTGCTTCAGTCTCCTGAGTAGTTGGGATTCAGCCACGCACCACCATGCCCCCATGACCGGCTAATTTTTGTATTTTTGGTAGAGATGGGGTTTCACCATGTTGGCCAGCTGGTCTCGAACTCCTGACCTCAAGTGATCCTTCTGCCTCAGCCTCCCAAGTGTTGGGATTACAGGCATGAGCCATTGTGCCTGGTCTCTTTTTCTTTTTTGAAACAGGGTCTCACTCTGTCACCCAGGCTGGAATGCAGTGGCACAAACACAGCTCACTGCAGCCTCGACTTCCTGGGCTCAAGTAATTCTCCCACCTCAGCCCCCAAAGTAACTAAGACTACAGGCACATGCCACCACAGCCGGCTTATCTTTGTATTTTGAATACAGACTGGGTTTTACCATGTTGCCCAGGCTGGTCACAATCTCCTGGGCTCAAGTGATCCACCCGCCTTGGCCTCCCAAAGTGCTGGGATTACAGGAGTGAACCACTGCACCTGGCCTCCAAGGCCCTTTTCTTGACCATGCATCCTGCTGGACTCCATCTGTATTCCTGGTCCCCATGAATCTGTTTCACAGTTCAAGCATCCTTCCCCCAACCCCTCATCAAGCCTTATGCTAGAGGAGACAGGATCTACCTCCTGTTGAGGAGGTATAATTTTTATTTCCCCAAACAAGAGCTTAAAGTTTATGGCCTTGGCAGTCCTACAGGGAATGGTCCATGATCATGAATAATAGAGGCTTTGTCACTATTACTCCAAATATCCAGAGGCAAAGTGAACAATTCTGACTTCATACTGTTTCCAAATCTCCAGAGGGCTGGCAGCATTGACAGAGCCAGGCAGAGCCCAGGCTTTGGTCATAAAGGCCTGGATTTGAATATTGGCTCTGTCATTCTTACTTTCTGTGTGACCTCGAGCAAGTTATTAAACCTCTTTTGGCCTCAGTTTCCATTGCTGTATTATGGGAACAATAGCTGCTTTGAAAGAGTGTTGTAAGAATTACAGAAAATTACATGTAAAATGTCTGGTATTCAGGAGGTAATCTGCTTCCCTGAATCCCCATCTTGCTTGTAGTTGTGAAGCTATGCAACTTTCCTTCCTCTAAGCATAGTCTGACTCGTATATGTGTAGTAGTGATATGTTACAGGAAAGAGGAAGCATTGCATTAGGCTGGGTGGGGTGAAGCAATGGACAGTAACCAGGGAAAAGATCAAGGTCGTACTCTTCCATAGCAACTTTCTTTTGCGTTTGGGTCTTAAGTAATGTTTGAGAAACCTTAAATTAACGAGAATAATTTGTCTTATGTTATTAAACTTCCTATATCAGGGTTGTATGAGTTAGCCAATGTTAGGAAAACATCACTATGGCCTTATACCTCTAGAAAAATGTTGTTTTATTCTTCTCGATACATTCAGTAATAATGCTGACAAGGCCGACAAAGTGTTGACTGGGAGAGGAAGTTATGGGACTTTCTGGAATATACAAATCAGAATGATTTACAATCATCATGTTGATGGTTTATCTAAATCTGCAGAAACTGCTAAAATGCTTAAAAGAGGCAAACATTTCCATTGTGAAGTAAGATAGAAAGAGAATCAGAACTTGAGAGTCAGACAGACCAGGGTTTGAATCCTCTTTCTTACTTGCTGAGTTACTTGGGGGAAGTTACTGAATTTTCTGATCCCCAAGGTTTCTTCACTTGGAATATAGAGAATATAATAATAACACCGGCTTCCTGGAGTCTTAGTTGCTGGTTTGCAAACTTGACTGTGCAGAGAAGCCCCTGAGGGGTTGCAAATTTGACTGTGCAGAGAAGCCACAGATCCTGGGCTCCAACTCTAGAGTTTTCTGATTCAGCAGGTTTGGGGTGGGGCTGAGAATTTGTATTTCTAACAGGTTCCAAGATGATGCTTTTGCTGCTGGTCCAGGGACCTCACTTTGAGGAGTGCTGGTTGTTATGAGTCTGGTTGTTAAGTGCTGGTTGTTAGTTGTTAAAGTAGAGAAAACCCCTAGCACAGTGCTTGGCACACACTAAAGCCATCATAAACCATAGTGATCATCAATGATGGTGCTCAGTAAGGATGATGATCTGATGCCTGAGTCACTGCAATCTTTCTGATATGGTACATTTTTTAAATTATTAGGTGTGGGCAGAAGAAAAAGCTAGTGATCAACAGTGGCAATGGAGCTGTGGAGGACAGAAAGCCAAGTGGACTCAACGGAGAGGCCAGCAAGTCTCAGGAAATGGTGCATTTGGTGAACAAGGAGTCGTCAGAAACTCCAGACCAGTTTATGACAGCTGATGAGACAAGGAACCTGCAGAATGTGGACATGAAGATTGGGGTGTAACACCTACACCATTATCTTGGAAAGAAACAACCGTTGGAAACATAACCATTACAGGGAGCTGGGACACTTAACAGATGCAATGTGCTACTGATTGTTTCATTGCGAATCTTTTTTAGCATAAAATTTTCTACTCTTTTTGTTTTTTGTGTTTTGTTCTTTAAAGTCAGGTCCAATTTGTAAAAACAGCATTGCTTTCTGAAATTAGGGCCCAATTAATAATCAGCAAGAATTTGATCGTTCCAGTTCCCACTTGGAGGCCTTTCATCCCTCGGGTGTGCTATGGATGGCTTCTAACAAAAACTACACATATGTATTCCTGATCGCCAACCTTTCCCCCACCAGCTAAGGACATTTCCCAGGGTTAATAGGGCCTGGTCCCTGGGAGGAAATTTGAATGGGTCCATTTTGCCCTTCCATAGCCTAATCCCTGGGCATTGCTTTCCACTGAGGTTGGGGGTTGGGGTGTACTAGTTACACATCTTCAACAGACCCCCTCTAGAAATTTTTCAGATGCTTCTGGGAGACACCCAAAGGGTGAAGCTATTTATCTGTAGTAAACTATTTATCTGTGTTTTTGAAATATTAAACCCTGGATCAGTCCTTTGATCAGTATAATTTTTTAAAGTTACTTTGTCAGAGGCACAAAAGGGTTTAAACTGATTCATAATAAATATCTGTACTTCTTCGATCTTCACCTTTTGTGCTGTGATTCTTCAGTTTCTAAACCAGCACTGTCTGGGTCCCTACAATGTATCAGGAAGAGCTGAGAATGGTAAGGAGACTCTTCTAAGTCTTCATCTCAGAGACCCTGAGTTCCCACTCAGACCCACTCAGCCAAATCTCATGGAAGACCAAGGAGGGCAGCACTGTTTTTGTTTTTTGTTTTTTGTTTTTTTTTTTTGACACTGTCCAAAGGTTTTCCATCCTGTCCTGGAATCAGAGTTGGAAGCTGAGGAGCTTCAGCCTCTTTTATGGTTTAATGGCCACCTGTTCTCTCCTGTGAAAGGCTTTGCAAAGTCACATTAAGTTTGCATGACCTGTTATCCCTGGGGCCCTATTTCATAGAGGCTGGCCCTATTAGTGATTTCCAAAAACAATATGGAAGTGCCTTTTGATGTCTTACAATAAGAGAAGAAGCCAATGGAAATGAAAGAGATTGGCAAAGGGGAAGGATGATGCCATGTAGATCCTGTTTGACATTTTTATGGCTGTATTTGTAAACTTAAACACACCAGTGTCTGTTCTTGATGCAGTTGCTATTTAGGATGAGTTAAGTGCCTGGGGAGTCCCTCAAAAGGTTAAAGGGATTCCCATCATTGGAATCTTATCACCAGATAGGCAAGTTTATGACCAAACAAGAGAGTACTGGCTTTATCCTCTAACCTCATATTTTCTCCCACTTGGCAAGTCCTTTGTGGCATTTATTCATCAGTCAGGGTGTCCGATTGGTCCTAGAACTTCCAAAGGCTGCTTGTCATAGAAGCCATTGCATCTATAAAGCAACGGCTCCTGTTAAATGGTATCTCCTTTCTGAGGCTCCTACTAAAAGTCATTTGTTACCTAAACTTATGTGCTTAACAGGCAATGCTTCTCAGACCACAAAGCAGAAAGAAGAAGAAAAGCTCCTGACTAAATCAGGGCTGGGCTTAGACAGAGTTGATCTGTAGAATATCTTTAAAGGAGAGATGTCAACTTTCTGCACTATTCCCAGCCTCTGCTCCTCCCTGTCTACCCTCTCCCCTCCCTCTCTCCCTCCACTTCACCCCACAATCTTGAAAAACTTCCTTTCTCTTCTGTGAACATCATTGGCCAGATCCATTTTCAGTGGTCTGGATTTCTTTTTATTTTCTTTTCAACTTGAAAGAAACTGGACATTAGGCCACTATGTGTTGTTACTGCCACTAGTGTTCAAGTGCCTCTTGTTTTCCCAGAGATTTCCTGGGTCTGCCAGAGGCCCAGACAGGCTCACTCAAGCTCTTTAACTGAAAAGCAACAAGCCACTCCAGGACAAGGTTCAAAATGGTTACAACAGCCTCTACCTGTCGCCCCAGGGAGAAAGGGGTAGTGATACAAGTCTCATAGCCAGAGATGGTTTTCCACTCCTTCTAGATATTCCCAAAAAGAGGCTGAGACAGGAGGTTATTTTCAATTTTATTTTGGAATTAAATACTTTTTTCCCTTTATTACTGTTGTAGTCCCTCACTTGGATATACCTCTGTTTTCACGATAGAAATAAGGGAGGTCTAGAGCTTCTATTCCTTGGCCATTGTCAACGGAGAGCTGGCCAAGTCTTCACAAACCCTTGCAACATTGCCTGAAGTTTATGGAATAAGATGTATTCTCACTCCCTTGATCTCAAGGGCGTAACTCTGGAAGCACAGCTTGACTACACGTCATTTTTACCAATGATTTTCAGGTGACCTGGGCTAAGTCATTTAAACTGGGTCTTTATAAAAGTAAAAGGCCAACATTTAATTATTTTGCAAAGCAACCTAAGAGCTAAAGATGTAATTTTTCTTGCAATTGTAAATCTTTTGTGTCTCCTGAAGACTTCCCTTAAAATTAGCTCTGAGTGAAAAATCAAAAGAGACAAAAGACATCTTCGAATCCATATTTCAAGCCTGGTAGAATTGGCTTTTCTAGCAGAACCTTTCCAAAAGTTTTATATTGAGATTCATAACAACACCAAGAATTGATTTTGTAGCCAACATTCATTCAATACTGTTATATCAGAGGAGTAGGAGAGAGGAAACATTTGACTTATCTGGAAAAGCAAAATGTACTTAAGAATAAGAATAACATGGTCCATTCACCTTTATGTTATAGATATGTCTTTGTGTAAATCATTTGTTTTGAGTTTTCAAAGAATAGCCCATTGTTCATTCTTGTGCTGTACAATGACCACTGTTATTGTTACTTTGACTTTTCAGAGCACACCCTTCCTCTGGTTTTTGTATATTTATTGATGGATCAATAATAATGAGGAAAGCATGATATGTATATTGCTGAGTTGAAAGCACTTATTGGAAAATATTAAAAGGCTAACATTAAAAGACTAAAGGAAACAGACTCAGAAGTCTCTAATTTAAAAGAATGGGAGGCTGAGAGGGACAGAACTATGCTTATCTGGCACCGTCTGGGTAATTTAGAGGAACAAAGTCAAAGGTATCTGAGGTGGCTGAAGCCTCACACTCATTTTATTTTTTAAAAAAGCAAAAACAAAATGGGTTTCCATCAACTTGAAAGTCTTCTTTTGGAGAAAATCTGGTTTTCTATGAGTGATGTGTGGTTCACATGTTTCAAACTAAGTGAGATACAGTGAAGTGTTAGTTCTTTTAAAGCCAAGAACTACTCCTGGACTTCCAGTTAAAGAGAGGAGAGTGTACATACCTTCATTCCCTCATGTAAGCCTCTAAAAAGAAAATAAAGAGATATTTCCAGACGGAATCAACCAGTGGAGTTAAAGAGATTGGAAGAAGAGACAAGAGCAACAAAAACTTGAAGCTGAAAAGTGATAGCTGATTGGTAACTGAATGAACAAGTCTGGAAAAGCTGACTCCTAAGCCTGCAGTGTGGAAAATTGAGAAACAACCAGACTTATGTGACAGAACCATCAAAAGGCTCAATAGCTATTCTGGAAATGAATGGGAAGATGAGGCTAAGATTAGGGGGACAAGCTTAAAGTCTATGTAAGAAGCAGTTAGAACTCCAGGTCCCCTTCCTTACTCTGTGTAACTGAACACCGTCCTTTCCCAATCTCAGCAAAAGACCAGAAGTTTATTTTCTGGAGACAGGGAAATAGAGAGTCTCTGGTTGAAGTCCAACAGCACGTACACAGTTGACATTAGAAATACCACACTGAGAGCCGGGCATGGTGATGCATGCCTGTAATCCTAGCACTTTGGGAGGTTGAGGAGGGCGGATTGCTTGAGCTCAGGAGCTTAGAGAATAGCCTGGGCAACATGGCAAACCCTTGTCTCTATAAAAAATATAAAAATTAGCCAGGTATGGTGGTGTGTACCTGTGGTCCCAGCTACTCGGGAGGCTGAGTTGGGAGGATCATGTTTGAGCCTGGGAGGTCAAAGCTGCAGTGAGTTGAGATTGCTCCACTGCGCAGCAGCCTGGGTGAAGAGTGAGACCCTGAAAAAGAAAAGAAAGATAAGAAAAGAAAAGAAACAAGAAAAGAAAAGAAACAAAAAAAGAAAAGAAAGGCCATACTGAAAAAGTGAAACCATGCTTAAAGAGTGTTGAGATTCCCTATCCTCCTCTCCCAGCTTGGCTCTCAGAATGCTGGGAGCTAGGCATATGTTCTCCAGGCAGAAGCTCAGTGTTGCTGGGGAATCTTATGAGCCTGAGAGAAAATTCTAAAAATATTAACATGGTAGTTCCCCAAGGAAATGGCCCAAAAAAAGCGATCTGCAATGAAGATGGCATCTCAAGCCCCACCAGGCACCCAGAAAGCTCAGTCAGCTTTCTGTAGCTTACTCTCACACATGAGCTGTTACCAAGGAGCACCAGACATTTGGAGAAAGCATCTAATATTAAAGTCAGGGACTACAAAAAACAGGAAAAAGTACCTTGACAGAAAAGAAACTGCTTAGAGAAGGAAACTTTTTCTAATAAAGGTCACCAATACTCTCAGTAAGATAAGAGGAGATGGTATATCTATAAAACAAAAACACAATGCCAGGATAAAAAGGAACATATAGAGAACACCTAAAAAAGAAGCTTTAAAAATGTAAACTTGAGAGCACAAATTTAAAAATAAACCTCACAGAAGGTTTGCAAGATAAAGTTAAAGAAATACCCTCAGAAATACAGCAAAAGCAAATAAATGGAAACAGGGGGGAATACATTGGGAAGACTGGCACCCAGTCCAGGAAATTTAACATGCAAATGCTGTAATCAAAGTCACAGGAAGAGAAAACAAATAGGAAGAACTCATCCAAGAAAAAAATCAAGAAAACTTCCCAGAACTTTAAAACATGAATATCTTGACTAAGGACAAGGTGAGTACTTAGTAAAATGAATAAAAACAGACCCACACTAATGCATATTATCTTAAAAATTCATGACACCTGGGGCAAAGAAATGATCCTATGAACATCTAGAAAGGAAAAATACATACATGGAGGATCAACAATCAGAATAGAATCAGATTTCTCAATGGCCACATTGGAAGATAGAAGACCATGAAACAGGGCCTCAAAATACTGAAAGAATTATTTCCAAGCTAGAATTCTAACTTAGTTAAGCTGCAAATTAAGTATAAGGATGGAATAAAGAGATTTTAGGTAATCATAGTCTCCAAACCTGCTCACCCATTCACAGGCAACTCCCAAAGGATGTACTCCATCAAAACAAGGGAGTTACCAAGAGAGGAGAGGACATGAGTTTCAGAAAACAAAGTAGAGGGAGTTCTTAAAATGATGATAAAGGGAGATCCCAAGATGACAGCTGTACAGCAGGTCTAGAGAACACTTAAAGTTGGAGTACTGACTAATAATTAAAACAATCAATGTTTTGCTTTTATTGACCTCTAATTAAAAAGAAAATTATTTTTTGTTGTATTCATTAACTACTGATGCATTAAAAACTGTTCCAAAATTAGTCGCTTAAAATAACAAGCATGTATTTATTTCTTATGCATCCACCAGTTAACTGAGTACTTCTGCTGATCTTGGCAGGGCTCACTTGAGCATGACGGGACTCATGCATTTGTGTGTGTGATTAACAAACAGGTCAGCTAGAAGCTGTCTGATTTCGGACAGCTTCATCTGGGATGATTGGGGTCTTTTTCCATCTGACTCTTACATGCCTCCAGCTGGCTGGTCCAGGCCTGACAGGGTTCCAAGTAAGAGCACATGCTCACAGGTCCTCTTGAGGCCTAGGCTCAGAACTGGTGCTCTGTCATTCCACCATATTCTATTGACCAATCAAGTTACGAGAGCAGCCCAGATTTTAAAAGAAGGGAAATAGATTCTATCTCCTAATGGGAGAAGCTGCAAAGTCACACTGCAAAAAATATGGTTACAAAAAAGCCAATTATCAGGGCCATTAGTGTGATCAAGATCTACGATAGACATGTTGAAAGATTCTTGTGCTCAAGGGCACCTCTCATGTTTATGCTTAAAATACACTCACCATTTGAGCCATATTGGCAATGGCATTAACTTAGAAAACCATGAACAACTTTATAAACCCCATGCTTATTGGAAAAGGAAGGAGCAAAGTCATGTGTAAATGTGTTTGGGAGATTGCTTGGTATGGTAGAAACAGCATGAGCTTTGGGATCAGACAAATTTTGGGTTTTAATACTGATTCTACCACTTACTTAACTGTGAAACTCTGTTCACACATCTTAAATATTTTGAGTCAGTAAAGAGACAGTAAAACCTTCATAGGGTGGCTATGAGGATTAAATTTAACAAGTACGTGTCAGTGCTGGGGTATATTAGGTCCTCAAAAATATTAATTCCTACCTGCCATCACCCACATATGCACAGTAGGTACTTAACTTCTTCCTTCACCATTTCCTCCAATGTTCTGAACTCTAACCAACTTTTAAGTGTGAATTGCTATTAACTTACAGTGGCTGGAGACAGATTATTTCAGAATCTGAAGCTCCCCATGAAGAAAGCCCTTCAATTTTAGTTGAAAGGTTTTTGCTTTCAAAGCAAGGCTAACAAGCAGGGAGTCCAGGAAGCTAATAACTGGCATTCGTTGATTAAATCTTGGCCATCTAGGTTGTGGCTGTAGGTTAACCAAAGTTGGGCATCCACCCAAGGCTTTGATCGTCACCTCCAGGAAGTTGTCTTGCCCCACCCCTATCCAGGATGAGCTCATTTTCCCCTCTGTGGGTATAACTCTTACCTTGTCCATATGTCATTGTAGTTCTTACTTTGCAATTTCATTAATCCGCCCATGAACCTGTCTGTTCTACTATATGATGAGGTGTGAGGGTACGGAGAAATTCATTATGGTCCCCCAAACCAGGTAAGTAGAAAGTGGTAGAACCAGGGATAGAGCTCAGCTCTCTCCAAAGTCTCTGGCTTAACATGCCTGAATTGTCTATTGTCAGAAGTTTGGTAAACTGAATTTGCTGAAGTTAAGACATCATCTCCAAATGTTGCAAACCAGGTCAGTATTCCAGAGCTCCCTGTGCCTGGTGGAGCCAAAGGAGGCTTTCAGAAACCACTGAAAAGATTTGGGGATGAGTACACTCACCATTTAGACCACATTGGCAATGGAATTAATTTAGGAAACCATAAACAACTTCATAGATGCTGTGCTTATTGGAAAGGGAAGAATCAGTCATGTGTAAATGTGATTTTTGCTGTGATGCCCGGGGCAAAGGCTCAGTGGAGAAGAAAGTCTGGCTGGGCATCCTGGCCTCAAGCCCCATTTCTTGCCTGTGTTGACACCTGGTCTTGAACACCAGTAGTTTGCCTGTCAGGGCCGCCCATAACCCGGCTCCTCAATCCTGCCCCATTAGGCTTCCAGACTGCTGATCTCATTACGTGGTGACTACTGTTTTCCAGAAGTCTTGTCTAAACCACTTCCTCCTTCCTCTCTCCCGAAAGAGGAATAATAAACCTCAGAAGAGGAGGCTAAGGTTTAGCTTTTAAAAGGTGATATTTAAAACAAGACTCTCAGTTCAAATTCAACCTCTGCCATTTACTTATGTATAACCTTACACGAATTATTGAACAGTTCTGTGCCTCGGTTTCCTCATCGGTAAAGCAGGAATAATAATCTCTACCGGAAAGAATGCTGGGGGGTTAAATGAGATAATATCTGTAAAATGATGGAATATAGTAGACGCATATAGGTTTCCTTCCCTCATTTCTGCTATCTTAATCACTTTTGTGTGAATACACAGTAGGGGTCTAGAAAGAATATGAACCATGATTTGGGAGAAGTCAGAGGTGTTCCAAAAATTTCTGAACCTCTCCCAAACCCTTTTAAGCACTGGGGTCTGAAAAGCCTACCCTCTCCCACCCTAAGATTTCCAAATAGTATCAAAAAGAAGAAGAGATTCCCACTCCTGTTTTCTGGGGAAGGGTGGAATATGCAGGTTTATTATTGCCAACATCTATAACACAAAGGCTCTGCCAGAGCCAACCTTCAAGGTGACCCCTAGATAGGGAGAGAGAAGAAATGAGATTGAAATTTCAAGGGCCTAGCTCTGGAGATTCTGAAGATCCTTGACCTTGGGAACTCACCCATGCAGAAGTGGAGAGACAGGTTTTCAATAATAAAGGCTAAGGGCTTCAAATTTCAGCTTGGGTTACTAGAGTTCAGTGAGAGATTTACTTTTTATTTTCGCCTCTTCTAGGATTCTTTAAATCTCATTAAGAAATGAAGAGAGAAATGTGAAGAAAAGCTGTCAGAGGGGTAAACTGTCAGAGGGATGCAAAGAAGAGTAAGATTTCAAACAATTGTTCTGAAAGAAAGTTAGTAGCTATTTAATAAGGACTGTCTATGCATATAGCAGATATTTAAATCATAATAAGTATAAAGTAAACTCAAAAGCGTCTCAATAAGGACAGCATCTCTCTTCCAAACCTCAATGGGTTTTGCTGGCTGCACTTCCAGGGCAAGTTGTCTTGGCCACACTTTACTTCTCTTCCACTCTCTCAATCCCTTTCACTGGGCTTGGAGGCACAGCAACTCAGAACTACAAAGTCTGGTCTGGGCAGCAGAGTCATTGGCTGCGCTGTACTCTCCCTCAGGGCAGTGGCAAGCTGGGACCTCTCTCAATAGGCAAGGGACCTCCGACTCCCTGTTTTAGATCACTTCCCCCTTGGACAAAATTTAGACCTTTGTGTAAAAGCTGACTGAGAAAAGTGCAATGTGTTCATCTGTCAAGCCAAGGATGAGAGTAATGAAAATTTTCCCATCAAGGTTCACGTCCTTTGCAGAAACTTCGTTTTCAACCATCTTGTTGGCCTTCTCTGCCCTGTTGATAATGCGCCCCCTAGTGGATGCTTTACAACATGCCCTTTGTCTTCGTAGAAACTGAGTCCTTCCGCCTGACTTCCGTTCTCGAATCCTCAAGGTAAAACCAGAAAGAAGAGGGTGAAGGTGGGCATCCTTGCACTCAAGGCTTAGTGGGGAGTGGGAATGGGAATGGAACTGGGTTGCCTGAGTTGGGACAAACGGTTGGGGAATAACTGATGGTCCACGTTTTCTTTTTAAACTACATTTTGTGTTTTGAAAAGGATTTATAGATCATGAAAAGAAGGAAACATTCATTAGTTGCAATTTAAACGTCATTTACTGAATATCTACTATATGCCAGGCATTGCGCCATTGCTGCGCTACAGATCCTTGTCTGAAGGACACAGATAATTGTAGCCAAGAACCTGCTATGACAGAGGGATAGATAGAATATTGATCTATAATGGCTGAAATTGAGCATTTGCTATCTACTTGGGCACTGTCTTAAGCATGTTGCATGTGTTAACTAAATTAAGTTATTTAACCTCTCTGTGGTTTAACAGGTAATCGTAGAACATAGCTTACAGAGTTATCAGAACTAAACAAGATAATACCTGAAAGATCTTAAAACAGTGCCTGGTACAGACATGCTAAAATAAGAAAACGGAAATGATACTCTGCACAACCTTGTGAGATGAAGTACCATATTATGTTGCATCTACAGATGGGGAAACTAAGGCAGAGGAAGCATAGTCACTCTGCTAGTAACTGGCAGAGCAGTCTGCCAATGTAAACAGCCCAGACCTAGAACATGCTCTCTTAACTCCTATGCCACACTGCTTCTGCCTGAACATACTGACTCTTTTAACAGGAATAGTTTTCATTTCAGTTCTTAAAGAAGGCTGGCATCAAAATTAGTGAGCTATTAAACAAGTGTCAAAATTATTGGGGACTGTAAATCACTTTATGTCTATTAGTTGATTCTAAGTGTGGCACAGATTACTTGTTCATTTGATGTTTGAGGAAAAGTTTAATAATATGCCAAACTTTGGTTCTCAGTTTTCATTTACAAAGAAGCTCTTGGCTAAAGAAATTTCCTAAAAGAATCTAGGACTACTCAAACAAGAGACTGGCTTATTTTCTGCCTTTTATTGTTCCTTAAAAAGAATTCAACATTAAAAATACAAAAGTAATTGTCTACTTCATTTCTGTAGAAAGGTAGACAATAAGACATCCATTTTCTAGAAAATTCTTTATTCCCAGAAATTTTATGCTAGAAATGTTTTCTGTTCCAAAAAATATCATCTAATCTCGTTGATGAACCACACAAAGGGATTACATTTTAAGTCTTATCATTGTGACTGAATGAACTGAGACTTCCCCTCTGCCTCCAGGGTTTAGGGAAGTACGACTTGGACAAGATATTCTTTATTGTCAAATAACAATGAGGTGTCTGATAAACTATCTCAGAGGCAAGGTGGGAGAATGCTCTTTTAGCATAATAAGTCCAGGGTATTTAATTCTGCTAGTAAGAGTGTCAAAATGAGTAGGAGAAAATGGTTTATGTCATACAGGTTAGAACAGAGAGTTTCTGAAAGAAATTAATCCTGGAGGTGGTGAGATGTGCTTGATTTTAGGTAACCCAGGGGAAACCCAGTGTGGTAGTATCTTTTTGATGCTGCCCACCACTCCCCTCTCCACCCCCGCCTCCCCACCGCCAAGCTCCCAGAGACAAGCTCTCACCCTTGTGGACTCAAGTTATCCCTTCTCCCAGTGGAGCAACTATCACTTGAAGGAGGACAAAAGCAGTTGGCATCCAACGTGGAAGGCTAGGAAAGCTGAGGGGACCGAAAAAGCTGAGACAGGCATGAGCTGGTTACAGAGGCTCTTGGACTTACAATGGGGCCATATTCCTATAACACATCATAAGAAGTCAAGAATGCATTTAATACTGGCATAAGCCCATCATAAAGTCAAAAAAATTTAAGTCAAACCATCATTAAGTTGGAGGCTATCTGTATTTCTGTGGGAAGGGGTTGTGATTATAAGGAGAAAGGGAAGGTTGTGGGGACGCCAGAGATAGATGGGGTTAAAGGAAGAAAGATGAGGGACAAGAATTAAAAGAAGGGATGGACACGGCGGCTCACACCTATAATCCCAACACTCTGGGAGGCCGAGGCAGGTGGATTACTTGAGGCGAGGAGTTCGAGACCAGCCTGGCAAACATGGCAAAACACCATCTCCACTAAATATACAAAAACTAGCTAGGCATGGTGGTGCACATCTGTATTTCCAGCGACTTGGGAGGCTGAGGCACGAGAATTGCTTGAAGCTGGAATGCGGAGCTTGCAGTGAGCGAGATAGCGCCACTTAACTCCAGCCTGGGCAACAGAGCAAGACTGTCTCAAAAAAAAAAAAAAAAAGGAGAGGAATATCTCTTGCGAAGGCATGCACATACACACACCAGCTTGTGTGATTCAGGGGTAAGAAAACCTGGTCCCTTTCCTCCTATTTCACCATTACTATCATTATGCAAGGCTTTAAAAAATCAGTAGCTGAGGCTGTAATTTTCACATTCCTTGTAATGTCCTTTGCATCTAGAAGATCACCTGGCACATGGATGGTCAGTCATGTATGTTGAACAAATGCACAAATAATAATAGTAACAGACCTCGTACGTGATCAAAAAAAAAAAAAAAAGAGGAATTAACTCACTTGTTGTATTCCAGGGGCTCTTCCAGGGTATTTGAATGGAGATAAAATGTCTGCTTACTTCCTATCTAAGTCATAGCCTAGAACTAGAGCTGAGAATATATTCCTCAAGCCAGCTGCTAAATAGCTAGTAGAATGGCACCAAGGTGCCAATGTGGACCTAGCCAGGGTGTATATGAGTTTCTTCTAATGAGAGGGGGGTACTGGAGGCAGTTAAACATTGACCTGGAGCTGCTTGCTGGGAAGCAGCGTGAAGTGTTGCTTCCATTTGAGAATGAATATTCCATCACAGAATTCCAGTTAAAGTCAACAGATTGAATATACTCATTATGTATTCTCCTTCCTAACACTTACTCAAATGATCACAAATGCATCAAAATAATGTAGACTCACAAAGAGATTGGAAGAAGGGACCTTAGCAGAAAAAGATATCAAGAGATTTTGGAAAACAGTAAATGGCAGAGGAATTCATGATCTAGCAGGTGTAGGAAGATGTCACCTAAGTGTGAGCAGAGTGAGAGCCTCTGAGTAGAGAGCCAGTTGCTCCAGCAGAAACTTGGAGATGCTTATGCCTTGGAGGCACCAAGTGGTCAGAGACGGGGATGAGGATCACAAAGGATTCTCCTGTCCAGGACTTTGAATCTTGAGCAAATCACACACAGACAAGTGAGAGATGAAGAGAGATTCACAGAGGTAGTGACACAATGGCTGTGGTCCAGTGGCATAGCTGCTGAGTGGCATAGCTGCTGAATGGCAGCTGTGGTGGCTGCATCCTGGCAAAACTAATCTGCCTCCTAACCTCTACATATCTAAGAAAAATAGAGGCAGGCCAGCCTTTCTGCCCTGATCCTTGCTTACTTACTGGACATCATGCCTGAGGGCATTGTACTTGATATATTTAGACCTCAGTTTCTTCACTTGTAGAAATATATATAAAGTTATGTAAATATATATAAAAATACACATAGACCAATGCCTGGCACCTAATACATGTTCAATAACTGTTGAACAAGAGCATCCTCCACTAGGCATTTCCCCATTGCAAGAACCCAGCTGGACAATGGAGATTTCCATCTCTTCAGGGGATAGCTAGAGATTCATCTCTTCAGGGGATAACTGGAGATCCATCCCATGGGGGTGGAAATAAACATGTAACATTAGTTTTTGGTCATTTCTAATCTACCAGTCCATTGTTTAATTTCCAATAACATAGCTATTTAAAAACCTCACTTTTAATTTGAAATAGGTGCAAAAAAGAAATAATGTTTTGTCATTCTGAAACTCTCTAGCCTCACTCTTAGGGAAACTATCATAACATTATATCTTCAGAGATTGACTTTACCTATTCTGTCATCTCCTTCATCCTGTGTTTGGAAAGTCTTCTTTAATGATCAAAGTCTTCTCTCTTCAGGACAGTTAAACATCATTTTCATAGGCACAATTTGTTACTAGCATATAAGGAGTGTTTTATTTTGTTCCCAACTGAGGTTACACCAGAGAAGACACATCTAAGCTGAAATACCAGAGCAAGAGATAGATTTGCTTAATGTTACCAGGCAGTTGTTTGCAGTACAAACAACTGCAAACTCTCAGTGGCCTAAAATAATAAAAGTTTATTGCTCATTCTTGCTATATGCTCCTCACAGGCCACAGACAATTTCTTTCATCATAGTCACTCAGAGACCCTGACTAATGGCACAACTGTGATCTAAAAATGTCTCTATTACCTGCCAGAAGGAAAGAGCAACTTAAGAAATATAAACAGTTGTGGAGCTAGAAGAGACAATTGCTTCTTAATTCGCAACAATACAAGATGAAATGAGAGAGATGCTTTATGCAATAAAACCCAACTCAACCTCAGAGGCAAAATCAACTCAAGTGCTTGGTCATTACATCCATTGTTAAAGCCTCTGCATTAACTAATGTGGCATCCAGGATATTCTTTCATTTAAAAAAATGGCTAAGGGAAAAATAAATCTAAGAATGCGCCTCTCTGCCTTAAGCCTGATTGACTCAAGGTACCCACAATTAAGAAAAAGGAACATGTTTTTAAAAGGGCTGTGGTTATGGTGGTTGGCATATATGGCTAATTAGAGTCAAAAAGATAAAGGCCAGCAGAGATGTTAAGAGTTGTGATGCCAAAAAAACTATGGAGTTTAATTAGAAAACTCTGTAACTGTTCAAGACCGAAAATGAACCTTAACTTTCTGAGAGCATAAAGCAGAGGATGTTGCTGAAGAGGAGATTATTTCCTAGTGTTCTCTTTAGATGCGTCAACAAAGTATAATGTAAAAAGAAGGACTTCCTAGAAGGTAATATTAAGGGCCATGGGGGAAGACAGGGAGATGGACTGGGGAAGCTGCCCCAGGGGGCCAGACCAGAATCTAATAAAAGCATTTTCCTTATTGGCTAGGTTCAGTGGCTCACTCTTGTAATCCCAGCACTTTGGGAGGCCAAAGCAGGTGAAGGGATCACTTGAGGCCAGGAATTTGAGACAAACCAGACAGACAAAACCCTGTCTCTACTAAAAATACAAAAAATTAGCTGGGTGTGGTGGTGCACACCTGTAGTCTCAACTACTCTCAAGGCTGAGGCATGAGACTCACTTGAACCCAGGAGGTGGAAGTTGTAGTGATCCGAGATTGCACTCCAGCCTGGTTGACAGTGAGACTTGGTCTCAAACAAACAAACAAACAAAAGAATTCCTTATTATAGTGTAAGGGCTCTGTAATGTCTGCCCATCAGGATTTCTGAAATGCTATGGCTCAGTGACTCGTAAGTCTTCCAGGGGTCACCTTTCCAGACAGGAGTATTTATGGTAACTGAACTGTTCCTATTCCACCATTGGAGTTTGTGTGCCAGGGAAAAGGAGGGAATGGAGCTACAGAAAACATGTATTTTCTGTTCACAAATTTTTGAGTCAATGGAAGCCACATCTGAACCATGTGTGAAAACTTCCATGCATCTTGCCAAGTTCTTGGACTTTGACCTTGATGTCATGACTGGATGAAACCTTTATGTGGTCTCTTTGAAGAATTTTGCGTGTGGGAAACAGAGTTACCGAATACTAGGTGACCAGAGAAGTAGACTGTGGTATCATATTTGTGCTGTTCACCAAATGTTTCTGGATCTCTCTCTCTACTCTCCAGCCCCCCAACATTCCCAATCCCCATTTTGAGAATGTGGTGGAATTGCATTTCATTATCCCTTGAAGCTGGGTGGGATTATGTGGCTAGATTTGACCAGGCTAGTGGGTTGTAAGCTGAGGTGACATTTAACTGCTCAGGTAAGGACTTTCCTAGAGCTCTTTTTCTCCATTGGCACGTCAACAAAAGCCTGTTTAAAAACAGTAGTTGATTGTCATCTAGGGTCCCTGAGTAACTACAGAGAGCAGGACCTTCTATTGACCTACAGTGAGACTGTGATGAAAGTCAATAATAAACTTATCTTGTTGAGACCATTGAGATTTTGATATTGTTTGTTACTGCAGGACAACTCAGCCCATCCTGACTGATACCTGCAAGGATGGCAGATATAAGACAAATATTAGTCACTCCCCCTTCCTTCTTCCTTTGCAATCATTTATAATCAATCTGGATTCTTTCCTAATCTGCCCAGATAGTGTCTAAGAATCTTCCTCACTCCTAGTTGATCAAAGCTCAGTCTCAATATGACACTCCTTGGCCTATTGACTTAGCAAATTCTTTAGGGAAGAGAATATGTTCTAACTGACTGGGGCCAACCAGTATGGGTACATCTATCGGCTCCAGTTATTTTTTGAGATCTCCTCTTTACCGTACATGGGTTTCATGATTCCAGGAGGTAGGCAAGTAGATAATGCAGGACCCTATGGGATAATAAGCATGATCAATCTTCTTTGAATGCCCTAAAGCCCCAAGCATAATTAGGACTTCAAAATTAGATATCAAGGGAAGTTGCCCCCAGCACAGAGGTTCAACCACCATAAGAAACAGATAATGTGACAGTATAGTCTCTGGGTTATTTGAGAAAACAGAGGGAATATAGTAGGAAGCATTGAAACTAGAAAGACTTTCAGGTCAGCTTCTTCTTAGGTGTGCATATTTCCTTCTCTGAATCTCAATTTCCTTATCTTCAAAATGGGGAGAGTGATAGCAACTACTTCACAGAGTTGTTTTGAAGACTAAAGAACCTACATAAGAGTCTGCCACATAGCAGGCATGTGGGGAATGGGATATTTAGGAGATGCTGTTGGTGCTCTGCCCAGACCCCCTTCCTGGATTGGTGCACTCATAGCCTAACTGCTGTGTTGACAGCTAAAAACTTGCAGCTGGCTCCAGCAAACGGCTTTCTGCAGATGGGAGCTGCCTCACCCTGGAGGTTATGCCTCCTTCCCGTAAGTAGCCCATAGCCAATGACTGACTGATATGAGTGCGCAAAGATAAACCTCGTTTCCTCAAGGAGACAACTCAAAGTTAGACTTTTCCTGAGACTATCTTCCTGCTCAGCTCTTTCCCTTCCCTGTCCTGCTCCCCTCGTGCCCTTACAGGCCCTCCTGAGAAATACTCCCTCAAGAAAATCTTGTGAATTTGAATTTTGTCACTGGGATCCCCACTTAAGACAATTAATAATTGTATTATTACTAATATTATTATTAATTAATGATTTACTATTAATAGTAAATAGCAGACTCTTAAGGTTGTGGTGATGCCCTGAGCTGCTGAAAACTATAGAGGGCACCATTTTGAGGTGATTCTAGCATAGCCACAGGGAAGCTCCGTCAACCTAAAAGCTCACAGAAGTTCCTCCTGAGATCTGCTCTTGGAAGAGCAAGAACATTTGTGAAAGAACACAAGGCAAAGAATAAAGGGATGATGGGAAGGAGAGCTGCTGGGAATTGATCAGCTAAGGGCATTCTGGAGAGTCATGCTGGGTGGGTACATTCCACAGAAATGGCCTTTCTCATGACATTTGTCTCAACTAGCCCATCCAAGGCTGTGAGCTGGGGACTCCCTGAGGGACTCCTCCAGTGAGGAAAAGAATTGCTTCATTTCTGGATGTCCTGTTTCCCATTGGAAGGGCCAGCTCAGGCTCCCATCTCAGTGAGAGGTCACTTGGGCCAGGCTGAAACTCACTTCGTTTCCCTGAAGAAATGCAGTGCCTTCTCTCACTGCTAAGCCTCAGAGACTTGGCAAGTAACTGAAGACATTTGGAACATCAGATAATGCAAACTCGTAATGACCATGAAGCTCCTCTAGACTAAAGGTGGGGTTATCCCAGGCTAGGTCAGGAAAGCTCATGGTCTACTAACAAAGCTCAGATTTGGGGGAGGGCAGCTGAACTATGGATTACATGCTGGTGTCCATGTGATATGGTTGGGGTAAAGGCCAAACTGGGAGAGAGGAGGCATGACTTCTTCCAGCTTGGTCACAAAGAAGTGGTGATTGGTAACGCTAAGGATGAAAATAGTGATAATGAGGATGATGATGAGGATGATGGTGGTAACTATCACTGACTGAGCCCTCATTATGTGCCAAGCACTGGACTAACTACTTTATGAATGTTCTCATATGAAAATCTCTATCTCATAGGCATGATTAGCCCCATTCTACTGATGAAGCAATTGAGGCTAAGTTAACAATCCAATCATCCATAGCTAGGAAAGGGATGGAGCCAGGACTTAAGCTTGGTTTGTAACTGAGTTACCTCTAGTTCATTTAAACTAGGGTATCTTCTTCCTTATCTGCAAAAAAGCACGGGCTAACAATCTGGCTTTACAATCTGGAATGATCTCTGTCCTCATCACCAAGATGAAAGGGAAGTTTGGGATCAGGTGGAGAAGGAAGATGGTGTTCCAACGGAACTGTTCACTCAAAGGAAGGCAGTTGGGAAATTCTGTGGCTCCTCCGTTTGTGAGCAGTGTGTTATTCAGGCCTGGAAAACATCTGAGAAGTGACAGAAGCTGTTGGAGAATTCCAGGGGAGTCAGGTCACTCAACAAAAGGAGTGAGGAACAGATGACTGCAATTCTAAATTTGTCTTTTTTTCCTTAACTGGAAGCCACTAGATTTTTCCAGACAATATTTGGAAGGCTAAAATCTGATTACCCCAAATAACAGACATAAAAAGATGTGGAGGTTTTACATATTCATTCAGCTTGTAAAAAGGAAAGGGAGAACCATGAAATAATATTTTATTTATCTGCTTTATGGAATTCTTCAGAGTTTAACGTCTCTGCTTTTAAACGTTTGAGAGTAAAAACAGTATTTGCATTGGATGGCTTTATTCTTTTTATATTTTTTTGGACAAGCTGTGTGGACCCAGTCTACACTCTGGAATTTGAGCCTGACTCTGTGGCTCAGTTTTTCTTAGGACAATATGGGAATTAAATATGGCCTTTCACTGCCTCAGTGGAAGAATGAATTAATTGAACTTTAAAAACTACCAGGACAAAGAATTATTGAGCTAAAAACATTTGTGTTGTTGCCAGGGACTCCACAGTCTTCTCTCCTTGCTCAACCCAAGTCAGATGTGTGGGCATCTCTACTCACACCTTCCTGTCTGGGCTGAAAGGTGACAAGTGAGGAAAGCTTCTCATGAAAGCTCTCCTGGAGGTGCCTGAACCCGCTGTCACCTGTGGTTCTTTGACGTACAGAACACTGGCATCCTGTTTATGACATTGTGCCTGGAAGGAGGTGCCCACACTAGGGCCAGTGCCTTAGGTGGCAGGCCACACAGTTCACGCTCTTTGCAGGTATTGCCCTTTGTGGTTCTACAATCCTCCATCACAGGGCAGGGCACTGCAATGGACTGAATGTTTGTTTTTACCCCAAAATTTATAAGTTGAAATCCAAACCCTCAAGGTGATAGTATTAAGAGGTGGGGCCTTTGGGAAGTGATTAGATCATGAGGATAGATTCCTCACGAATGGGATGAGAGCCCTTATAAAAATGACCTCAGATAGTTCCCCTGCCCTCTTTCTGCCATGTGAGGATATAAGGAGAAACCCAGAAGGGGGGCCCTCCCCAGAAAACACCATGCTGCCACACTGATCTCACACTGCAAGCCTTCCTCAACTGCAAGGCATTGATTTCTGTAGTTGATAAAGCACTCAGCCTATAGGGTTCTCACAGCCAGAACTTCGTTGGGGATGTGGCTCAAGGGGCTCCTGGCAGTTCTTGTGGTAGGTGGAAAGACTTTTTTGTGACTTTCTGTAACTTCCTCTGTTAATTGGCAATTCACATCAAAGCAAACAGCCCGCTGATGTCAGGTAGAGCCTGCTGGGCCTCACACATTATCGGTCAAAGAAGAGATCAAAGATGAAGTGGGCCCTGTTTTGCTCCCATTAGATCTGTGCTCAAAGGCCTCATCATTTGAGCCTGAGGAAAGAAGGCCTCGGCCCTTCATCTTACACTCCCTTCCTAAAAATGGTCTCATTTTGCTTGTCTCAGTATCCATGTTGGCAAGATGGACCCATAACACAGCCAGCGATGTATGGATCACTAGGAGATTACTAGCAATGCATGGATCACTAGGGAATTACTACTAGTGCATGGATCACTAGGGGATTACTAGTGGTGCATGGATCACTAGGGGTCCAGCAGTGCATGGATCACTAGAGGATTACTAGCAGTGCATGGATCACCTGGGGATTACTAGTGGTGCATGGATCACTAGGGGTCCAGCAGTGCATGGATCACTAGAGGATTACTAGCAGTGCATGGATCACCTGGGGATTACTAGTGGTGCATGGATCACCAGGGGATTACTAGCAGTGCATGGATCACCAGGGGATTACTAGCGGTGCATGGATCACCAGGGGATTACTAGCAGTGCATGGATCACTAGGGGATTATTAGCAGTGTGTGAATCACTTGGGGAATACTAGCAGTGCATGGATTATTAGGGGTGCCAAATGGTTAACAAGTGGACTCACTGATGGGGCTATGGACAAATGGGTAAAAGATTTGAACAGGAACTTTTCAGTCACATACACATACTTCTTAAAAATTAGGACCACATGCACTAAAGCCTCCTGGGTCATACACACAGGAGACATAGATGACAATGTCCATAGCAGCCCTGCTCGACATAGAAAAACACCTGGAAAAGAGCACAAGTCCACTGTCCAAAAAAATGAATAAACAAAGCATGACATATTTCACATGCTATCATATTATTACACAACCGTGTAATGAACAAACCACAGTTACTTGAAACAACATGGATGGACTGAGAAACACAATGCTAAATAGAAAAATAACAGTTCAAAAAGACTACATGCACTCTTTTTAAAAAAGCTCAAAAATAAGCAAAGCTGGTTTGGGTACACGTATGTTGGGGGGGGTAGAACTATTTAAAAAAAAATCAACAGGGGAACAATAGACACAAAATTGCAAGTAGCAGCTTCCTCTGGGGAGTAAAGCATGAGAACAAGGTAAGGGAGGAGCACGAGAACAAGCGAGGAGCACCGGGTGAAGGAAGGCTGTTGGCGACGCTCTATAGCTCTTGCATTGGGTAGTGGGCTTGTGGGCTAGTATCTCATGTGGCATAAGACCAAGACATGGGTTACAGAGATTCTTTTGTAGGTATGAGATGTTATATTAAGATAGTAAGATTAGAAAATAAAAGTAAATCTGTAGTCATGATGACTTACCTGGGTAAGATAATTCAAATTTCACAGTCCAAAAGCGTAGAAGTGATCTACTTGAAACCCCTCATTTTATGTATGCCAAGATGACTTCCAAATTGCATAGACATTTGGCCACATTCGTATGACCCTTCAGTGACTGAGTGGAGACCAGAATTCCTGGGTCAAAACTCTCAGTCCACAATTACTCTTTCCCTACTTACCCCTGTAAATTCTTTTTTATTTTTCCTTTTCATGCAGTGGTAATTAAAAGCAGCACTTAGTGGGCCCTCACAAAGGATGGATTAAACACCTCTGATCCAGAAGAGCAGGGAAATCACATTCCCTGAGCAAGCAAAGTCAAGTCTCTCTCTGGGTGTGTTGCCTTTGGCAGGAGTGGCTGATTTGGACCTAAGAGTATACATACTAAAGCATTAAGAAGTTTACCTTAACTCTGATTTGTGGCTATCTGCTATCTTAAAATAAAATGGCAGCTCAGAGATTTACTAATGAGCATATTTTCTGTAATTAAGATTTTAATAACATTTTGAATGTGGATGGGATGTAGACCTGGCTCCAAGGGAAGAACAAAACATGTCTTTTCAAATGAAGTGTCCATTTTCAATATTTTAATAAATTACCGACAGTGGTGAAAAAAATCGTGGTGTATCACATCTATGTATTTTACTTACTTAAAATCAAATATTTGCCTCATTTCCCCCTAAAATAGAATAAGAGAAAACAATTCAACTAATCCAGGCCATCTAACAGTGGGTGTCCTACAGTGTGACGCAAGAGTCTGCCACTCTTTCTGTGGGTCTCTGTTCCTGGACATATACCTTTCAGTGCATCAGAATCTCACCATGCTGGGTGTGATCCTACTGTCGAAGAGCATGCATTTTATTTCTACAGCATCACCAGTTAAGGCTTGCCCCTTACTTCCACAGTCATTATTTTTCCAATACTGGAGGAAAAACTTGCTATGTTGAACTTGTCGAGAAATGATATGTTTGTATACTATCCTTTATGAATGATTTAAGGGATTTCCATGGCCTGATAGTCATTAGAGCTATTCACCAGCTAGTTCCAGTTTTCTTCCTGTGAATCTGGTGAGGTTGCACTTCCTTTCATAGTTAGATGGAGCTATGTGAATTGATTTGGCCCTTGAAATATGAGCAGAAGTGAGGTACACACATTCAGGGGAAGCTGTAAGAGTCCATGTAAGATTTGCCAAGTTCCTCTTCCTGCACTGGCAGCTGCAAAAGCATGGAGATGGAGCCTCCCTCATACATCCTGAGTGAGGACAGCACAGAGCAGAGTCTCCCAGCCAACTGGTAATGGACATGTCACATGAATAAGAAATACACTTTGGTTTTAAGGCCCTGAGATTTGAGGGCTACCCCATACCAGCTGATTCATTGACTATATACCATTTCATTCAACTTACTAACTTTAGATTGCACGATGTAATTCCAATAGATATTTAGGCTTCCTAGAAAATACTCATTTTAACATTGTAGCCATCAATTCATGTTTCTACAAAAAGAACACTACTATGTAACCAACAATTAGTCTAAAATGGGAATTAAAGAAGAGGCAACAACCAAAATAAATTGAAATCCACATTTATTGATGAGAGATATATACACAAAAGTTAAAACACTTAGTGAAATATTGGATTCACAGGTTATTTCCAGTATATAAAGAATATCCAGTTATTTTACACGTGAAATGTTACAGTAATCAGTCCACATTGTAAGAAAGCTTAGAAAGCTAAAGGCGAAAACAAAAGACCTCAACTACCCAAAATGTGCTTCATCAACAAGGCATTTTCTAGTAGCATATATGAGAAACAATTCAAAAATTAGTTGAAGATTTTATCTTTTTGCATTCATTAGTCTTTAAACACTATGTGCTATAGATGCTCTGTGCTACGTGACTTCAGACCAATGGGGATTGTGAATGTGAGGAATACAATTAGTTTTATCTTTTGTTCTGGACATACAAGAATTTTCAAAGAGAATCCTGCATAAAGCCCAGTTTTATTTCAGGAAGTATTCCATCCTAAATTTGAAAGGAGTTGAAGAAGCCACATTTTCAAGGAAAAATTAGCCTGTCCACCATATCTCCTCATATGAAGCAGCCACTGCAAATTAATGTGCTTCATGCCCCCTGATGATATTGTAGGCTTTACCCTTCTTGGGAAAAGAGTAGGGCACTCAGGGTTCCCTATAGCACATGGCTAGTTCTTCTCTGTCCTTGGGGAGGAGAAAGGGGTTACAGGAACTATAGACCTCACAGCATTGTATTTAGCGATAATTATACAGAATGTGTGTTTTAGGAGGCAACTGTAAACTTGCATTAGTTAATCCCATCTTCAATCATTCAAAACATGCACACAGAACATATTAGGTAGAGAACGTCATACTCCCTCATATATGTGGGACCTGTGTTCATCAGTTGCCCCTCTACAACCGCATAAGCTGTACACTCACTATTCCTGTGCTTCTAGTGCTCTAAGTTTTTTACAGAGAACTCTGAAGTTTATAGCCAGAACTGTGCTTTCGTAGGGTTTCACCTGCAGATGCATTTGCAGTTAGTTAGTCAGCAATGTTTTTTCCTGTACCCTGACTCAAAAATCCAAGGGAGACAAGGCTCCTCAGAACCTTTAAGTCATGAGCATCATGATGAGTATTTGGCAACCAGAGAGGCTGACCTTTCTCTAAAGACATGATGCTAATATGCACAGAGTCAGACTAACTTTTTGTTCCTCTGAGCCCAATCCACCAAGCAAAGGAGGACTGTAGATGGATGTTCTCATTCTAAACCTACCTAAGTCTAGGTAATCAAAAGTTCCACAGTTGCATTCACCATGTATTAAACAGACATGAGATGACCTTTCACTAAGAACCAGGACACACACCCAGCCCATCCCTGCTCTGAATTGTGTATTTACAAAGGTGCTGGACACACACAGACTTTCAAACAATCATCAGTACAAAGGATTCACAGATAAATTCTTCACTCATATATATTCCCAAGCCACACTGAGAAAGAGGAGAAATGATTCACGACTAGTTATCTAAGAAGGAAAAAGAAATGTTTGCAAAACACCGATCAACATGTCTACTGCATTTAGATGAATAGCCAAAAATAACATATACATTTAAATTACAATACATCTATACACCATTTCACTGAAATTACACCTAGATACCTACATTATAGCTACACAAAGTGCATAGGCACTGTTCTTCATGCGTGAACCAAGTGTCAGTGTGTATACACAAGAGCTTCATGCTTTGACAGCTAGCTGTACTTGAAAATAGATACAATTATTGCCAGTCGAGGGTACATCTAATCTGTTTGTTTAATGAAGAGCAGGTTCAAATACATACCAATACACTTTCTATGTAACTGACTACTTTTTAAACCACGGTAAAAATACTACTCCTACCACCATCTCAGAAAGTATTTGGTGGAAGGAAGACACCTCGTCTCTGCAGTGGCTATCGTTTTACCTTTCGGGGAAGTTATATAGTCTGTTATTCACCTGAGGACAGAAACTACCTGGGCTGCTTTTAAACAATTTCAGTATGATTCTAAGCCCCCACTCCCAGCCCCCAGTGATACAGTATTGCCTCATAGTTGGTTCTAAAAATTTTTTGTAAACTTTCTTTAAAAATATGTGCTCAATTCACATAACAATGTGACATTTACCACTAATTTGCTTGGCAAGAATTAACTGCAACAAATCTGTCCTGATTTCATCTCTAGCACTCATCCTCAGTCTCTGCTACTCAAAGTTTTCCTAAGCCAATTTCCACATAAACCTTTAGGAATGTATGAAACATTCTGATCTAGGAATAATCCTACTATTAATACCTTGTCTTTGATAGTCTTAGAGAAAAGCAAAATGAGAATGCTCAGCTGGAAAAACAAGGCCTGGTGTCAAACATTTAAAAAATCAGCACCATTCCTTGAGTTAGAAAGATGAATTATTTAGATGTATATCCTCACCAGCTAAGGGATTTAAGCAATTCCTTGTTCTTAATGGTTCATTTTGTTTATTGCATCACTAAAGACTGGGTTCTTAAATTTGTCAAATGTGACTATATAGTCAAGAAACAATTGGTAGCTCTAAATTGCTGAAGAAACTTCTTGTGCTCTAATTAGTTATAATTCTACATGTGTGGTTACATAGAAAATACTGTAAGAAAATATGTCTGCAAAATTACAGATACTAAATAGATTAATTCAGTCTACACTGAGTTCTTTATAATTTCTGAAGAATAGTTACAAACCTATAACATTATTAAAGGCTAAATTAATATTAAACATATAACATCCAGGTCTATAAATACATTTTCTAATGCTCTTTATAAATAATAGCAAACAAGCTAGGGGATTTGTTTAAAAAAATGTAAGACTGGGCTGGAGGAATTTGTGGATTTAGGGTGCAATACTGATCAGAGGGCAATATATTGTCCCTGGTAACACAGACTCTTACCAGGAAGCCAAAATATATCTGCTGGCAACAAGATCAAGTTAGATTCACAGTTTGCCAGCTCTTTCCTCAAGCTGTAGAAAACAAATAGAAAAACAATATACAAAATCCTCAAAAAAGTAGTTTTTTTATATACAAATCTCTATAGTGACCAGATAATCTGATCTGTGTTGTGCAACATGGAGATGCAATGCTGAGGTTTTCCAGGAGAAAGAGAAAGGGAGGGAGTTAAGGTGATTTGTAGAAAAATCTAGATGCCAAAGGATGACTTTCTATAAGGGAAGTAACTCTTATGGAGTATTAAACCACCAGACAGCCAACTTTCTGATCATTTATCTCAGGGAATTCGCTCCATGGGTCCATGGGGGAGAAACCTCAGAGATGTGCTGGACCAACTTCCTTGGCTAGTGTGTGTATTTGCCCCCTAGCAAAGGCAACAGGCTGTTTCCAGGCAGGCAAAATGGTTGCCATGAGAAGAAACAGTGCCCCAGAAGGAGTGAGGCTCCGACTGCAACATCTCCATCTCCAGTGAGGATGATGACAAGGCTAACAGTCAGTTGTCAGGTTTCAACACTCACCCAAGGATTGGGGGTGTCTCCAGAGAAACTGAGGACCTGTTGCTACCCATTCTCTAGGTCAACTTCTGACTCTACAAAGCAGTGAGGTCTGTTCCAATAGCTGGTTTTATTCTCAGCACAAAAGGGCCCTGTGTAAAAACCAGAAGGATTTTGTAAAATATCAAAATGAATATTTGGCCTGGAGGTTGGAAAGTGAAGCAAGGCTGGACATAGAAAAAAACTGATCAGTAGTTATTCAGGATATTATTTAGGATAAATGAAATAGGAACTTAGGGGCATCTCTCACTTTTCTACAGGTTCTTATCTGGGTCAATGAAGAAATTGTGTTTATCTTGCTGCCCTTGCATCAGGTTTTTTGCACTAATGGAAAAAAGCCGGCCGAAAAACAAAACCCAATCCTTTCAGTCCTAGCTTTACATCTTGCCCTTGCAAACCTGAAGAGCTGAAGTCTTCTCTGACAACAAAGGAGTTCACAACACAACAAATACCAACACTACTCTATTTAGCAGAAGTTTGGACAAACAGCAGAGGTGTCCACCATGGGCCATTGCAGCAGTGCCAGAAAGTGCAAGAGGTTGTTTAAAGATCATGGCTGGTGACATGGACCTTGTAGACCATGCATTGTATCCCATCCACCCTACAAACTAATCAGGCCTTGAAGAGGGCAATGATAGTCAGAAAATTCCATTCTTGTAAGTTAGAGCATCTCTTCCTGCAATGTGATACCCATGATAAAAACAAACCAAGAGGAAAATGTGAAAATGAATTTGCGGGCTTACTTGTGAATGGGTGTGCATGTCTACATACTGGCGGAGAAGAAAAGATATTTACAAACAGTTGCCGTGATTGTGCAAGTGTTGTACCAAATTTCAAAAGAGTGATCAAGGTTATTCACCAAAGGCTCTCAAATTCCCATACTGGGTGGGCAATTAGAATTGTTGGAGAAAATTGTGTGTTTTGGGTATTCAGAGAGGGCTCTGTTGCTACAGCAGCAATGATGCAACAGCTTGAGTGAGGCTGTAGGTTCATCCAGTCCTCTCATGTTGACTCTGGAAACATTTTTCCGTGAGCCAAATCACTACTTCTATTAGGAAGGTGAGTTTAAGTCAAGGGAACTTTTATTAAAAAACTTTTATTGGTGTCTCAAAATATCAAACTGTGAATGAACATGGCCAACTTTGAAGCTTGTTGTAAAACATCAAATGAATAGAGGCTTGAATTTAATTTCTCCCAAAGGAGATGAGAAAAATCTAAATTGATTATTCATTATTGTGGGCTACTTCAACTTAAAATGTAAATAGGTCACATTTTATAGTAGGAAGCCTCTTAAGAAGGAAACAAAGCAGAGATCATAATACATTGGGCTCATAGGGCTGGAAGGGGATTTTAGTCATTTAATCCAACCCCTTCACTTTTCATATGGGAGAAAATGAGGCTTGGACACAAAATGACTTATGTAAGTCATACAGCTAAAAATGGGCAGAGTCTAAATCAAATGTTCCCTCTACCAAACCATGTTGTTTCTTATCATCTCTATGTCATTGCCTGAATTAGCTGTGTTATGCTACAAAGTTGGATACTATTTAATCAAGATTCTCTGTTATCTATTTTAAAACCAAGCCTCACACTAACTTGTGTGATGGCTTACTAAGCTGGCTGTTAGCAAAGCAGCAACAATAAGTGGAATGATAGGAAAGGAAGAGGTGGAGTAGAAAATTTGGTTTTCTTTTAGGGAAAATCATAAGAAAATGTGTCATGAGCAGCTGGAAACTCACTCTATGCTAGGAGAACAATCTGCCTCTAGTGCCACCTGCTTGGATTGGCACTCAGTGATCCCTCTAGGCTTAACCAGAAATTACTACAGATACTGAGACCATTTATCTTCTTTGACAATTAGACTTACAAAACTCACTCCAGAATTCCTTCAGGCTGTTTTTTTTTTAACTTAGTCTTCTTCTGCCTCCAGACTCTAGCATTCTTATTCAAGGAGCAAGTATGATAATAACTGAAAATTTCATTTGGTCCTTTTTCTTGGTTTGGAATGAGTTCAGTTGGAGAATAAGTAAAACAAACCAGCAGCTCAGACAACTAGATAGCCGTAAGAGTTAGAGAGCAGCTAGGTGAGAAAAATCACTTCCACTGGGGTATAACTGCTGTGCACTTTTAGTCATCAAACTAGATGAGAGCTAATGAGACTTGTTTTTCAGGAGTCAGAACTATGGAGAATTCTCTCTGAGCACGGATATACCTACTTGGATTTACTGCTGCATTCCATGGGAAAATATTGCACAGGTGGCCGAAGCCTTGATTCTGACAAAAGTAAAAAAAACTATAACATCACTTTTGCTATTGAGAGCAAAGGGACGTGTAGTATTTGCAAAAACATGGCAGAATTGGGTTTCCTTTGGTGGACCCAGTAAATGAGTTTCCCAACCACTTTGCTCCAAAAGGGCTTCTTGACTAGATACATATGCAAATGATGTATTTCTCCACACACAAGTGGAAATGACCAGAGACCCTCTAATCAACAGGTCATTGAGATTCCTGGCATCACCTAGCAGGAATCTCCCCATGACTTGAATTTTCCCTAAGCCTTTCTCATATTCCATGAGTCTAAATCCAGGAGCTAGGCATTTTGGCACCCCTTCTTTCAGCTTTCATGAATATCCAGGCTGACTAGTGGTTCGAGAGGAGAAAGAAATATTTGTCTTTTACAGGGTATGGTAACTTCCGCAGACAGCAAAACCATAGGCTGTGTTTCTACACACTCAATAGGAAGTAAAAACTGAAACTGATAGCTATGTGGTTCAGCTCTCATAACCTAGAGTCCTATGTTGAAGATCTGTGAGATCTAGATGATTGCCCTGATTTTCTGATGCTCTTTGTATGGGAAGCATGCCCTCAAAGATCTAAGGTAAAGTATTACCTTGAAAGATAAGCTATTCTTCTCACTGATTGGATTGGATTTGATTCATTGAATTTGAGTAAGTAATTAAGTGATGATTCCACTTGGGTTTCTCAAAGGGCAAGAATGAGAAAGAGAAGAATTAAAGTCTACTTAGTTGGTTTTCTCCTGAAATGATTCTGATTCCTAAAAAACATGAATGAGTCTATAGCAAAATGGCATTGCCGAAGCCCTGATTTACAGACCTTACAGGATGCAGTGTATGTATGTTTCTGGCCTGCTGTAACTGTATATAAATATAACATTTATGCATTATCAAATAGTAACAGACTATTACAAGCATTCATATATATGTTGAACCAATTAGGATAAATCTATACATATAATTGACAGGTTAAATGTATTCTATTTAGATAAAGGTTATTAGAGGTATACCCTGGATCCATTTGTTCTGTTTATGGCACATATGCTGGGCAAAGAAAATCCCAAATGGGCATGGCAAGGGAGAAATAAATGAGGCTTAAATAAAAACAGAGGACATAGACATATGTCAACATGTCAACTCTACATGCATTTTGGATTTTCAGGCTAGTCCTGAGTTCAAGAAATTGTATATTTTTAATATGACTTATTGAATTTCCAGATAAGTGTGATTTTCTAAGTATATTCTCACGAGACTTCCTGCACACAGTAAGTCTCAGACCAGAAAAAACTTGCTTTGTGAAGTTGTACACCTTGTTTCTTCCAAACACATTGTCTGCTGACATATTTACAGGCTAATAGGATAGCTAGGAAAAAGTTGAAGACAAAACACACCGGAAAGGTTTCAGGCAGAGTTCTGAGAAGAGAATCCTGTGACCACTCCATTGAGAAACATGCCCATGTATATAGATCCCAAAGCTGGCCTTCCATAGCAAAAAACAACAAGCTCCTAGACGCTTTGCCTATAGCCTCCAACTTACCAGAAAAAAGCTCTTGGGAACACCACTTAAAGAAAATCCTAAACAGTTTCACAGCTAAACCCAGGAACTGTCTCCTTAACCTATAACATTTGCTGTAAAGAATGTATTTTCTGGCCGGGCACGGTGGCTCACGCCTGTAATCCCAGCACTTTGGGAGGCCATGGCGGGTGGATCATGAGGTCAGGAGATCGAGACCATCCTGGCTAACATAATGAAACCCATCTGTACTAAAAATACAAAAAATTAGCCAGGCATGGTGGCATGTGCCTGTAGTCCCAGCTACTCGGGAGGCTGAGACAGGAGAATCGCTTGAACTAGAGAGGTGGACATTGCAGTGCAGTGAGCTGAGATCGTGCCACTGTACTCCAGCCTGAGCAACAGAGCAAGACTCTGTCTAAAAAAAAAAAAAAAAAAAGAATGCATTTTCTACTACTACACTTAATCATATCCCTTGACCACCCTGACCCTGTTTACTGCCCATCTACTGGAAATAAAGACCAATGTCATTTGAAAAGCAAAAATGAAAAGTTGCCTAATACTGTTCAGTAGTGATCCTTATCCAAAAATCACTAGGGTTTAGGAGACAAAAACAACTGGAATCTCATGTCTCTTGTATGTTTCAAAGGTATCTGATTTAAAAGAGAGAAGTCACAAGGAGCAGATAAGAAAGGCTATTTGAGGTCCATAAGCACCCTCATCTCAGAGAATTTGGATTCTATAAACCATGACTGTCTCAGCATCCCTCCGCTGGTTTCATATAATACAGCCTATTCTCACCTATAAACAAGGTTCTACATACTTCTTAGAGTCAAATGTGCTTTATTTCTCAATGATTCAAGTCCCAAGCTTACTCCCAAACCCAGCAACCTTAGGAAAATACTGTGCGTTATTCAATAAAAAAGGATAGTAGAGACATTAAAAATTTTAGCTTGCATTACCAATCATTAAGGATTTGTTGGCTGCCTACTGCATGCAAGGCACTGTGCTACACCAATTATATTATTTATTCCTTAAAACTTCACAGCCTTAAACAAGATTCCATCTGTGAAGTTGTACAGAGCCATCCTTTGTTGCCATGTCATTGTTCAAGGCTGCCTGGACTCTGCCATAGGAATATCACTTTTATAGGGTTTTGCACAGATGTTTGTTTTCTGTTCCTTTCTACTGAGAAGACTGAGGAGGAAGACTGGCTCTGCTTCCAACTGTGTCCTATAACTGGTTTTATGTGCTTTGATAGAAGATAACAAAACGCTTTCAACATATTGGATAAATACCAGTATTTTTGTTTCATCAAGAGATGACATTAAAAGAGGCACAGCCAACACAAGTGTCTTCCATGTGTGAGGACAGTAAAATGACCAGGCTTTCTAGGACGATGAGATGATGACTGAAATAATTGACAGATTAAAAATATCTTTTTCTTTAGGAACCAAAAAATAATCTTTTGGGTTAAACAAAGCAAAACACATACCAAATAATCTCATTTGATTTTACTACACCAGGTGAAGGCAAACCGAACATAAATAAATTTGAATATTTAACTCTGGTTAAACTTTATGTTGACTGTGCTCTCTTACTTTTGTCAATATCTACAGTGGTTATATATAAAATACTTCCTAATCAATTATCAAATTTAGAAAGAATAATGAAACATACTTTGAAATTTCAACCATTGTTCTCACAGATTACACAGGGTAAGGCAGAGATGTAACAGGTTCTTTAATCAACTGCCTTTAAGAGCATGGCTCCCTTTAAAACTGTCTTTGAAACATTTTACTTAAAGAGCATATGGAAGATAAATTGTCAGAATTCCCTAAGACAGGTATTTGCTTTTAATCAATCCATGTGCAAGCTTTACTAGACATTTTAAGGGGAGTTACTTCTAGAGGCTTTTAATAGAATCTCTTGTGCATAACAAGGCGAGACATGGAGAACACTTTAAGGAATAACACGCTGTGTGTTTGCTCATTTTCCCAAGTCCCTGGAGTGTACCACACTGCTTTACTCATGTCCCCTGGGAAAAGAGCATCCACATTTCTGCATCTTGGGAGAAAAGGGAAGCTGGCAAGAACGTGTCTTCAATTCCAACTGATTCCTCCAGCAGCATCCATTCAAATAATAATACAAGTGAGAAAATTAGACGGTTATAAAGCATTATTTGGCAAAGACACAGCACCGTGCCTGTCATCACTGACTCACAAGAGCTCCTCTAAGCCTCGGCTAACAGATTAAGTAAACATAGAAATATACGCATTTTTTTCCTTTTTAAAGAAAGCTTGTTTATATCATCAGTTACCATAGGATACGCTGGGGAGTTTATTCAAGAATTTGCTGAGACTCATATCCTTATTTCTCACGTTTCCAAGGTTCTTCCTCAACACTGCAGTCGGCTGACTTTCCATTGGCTGCCAGAGTTACCTGAAAATAATTATCATCAACATCCAGCTTACAGACCACGAACCAGAAAAAAGCCCTGTGGGTTATGTGGAGAAGCACCAAATCCAAGATTATACTACATGACTGAAATATTAGTTTTAAATGGAGTTCTTTCCAAATTGAATTTGAACCTGTCTTGGGTTTCAACAGTGATCTGAGAATTTTAAAAATCCATATTTGCCTTGGGAGTATCAAGGTATTAAAGCTGCTTTGTAATTTGGGGAATAACTTCTACTATGTTTTTAGTGTTGTGGGGTGTCTAACTACCCAGAGATCCATCACACAATAACACAGTCCTTAAAATACAGTGCCCATGTGCTACTCCATACAACCACAGAGGAAGAAATCCAGAACTAGGTATCTAGTTCTACTCATGCATGTGAAAGGTTCAGTTGCAATGACACCAGGTAGATGGCATACGTGTCTAATTTTTAAATCAGAAATCATGACATTTCAGCTGTGCCAAATAAGCTATCCCAGCTTTAAAGATTAAAAAGAAAAGTAGGGAGAATTAAAAGTCTGAGATTGGTGACAATGTTTATCTAAATTACTTCAATGCAGACATTTAATAATCAGATAAAATTACCAGACCATCTATATTATGCTTCCCTGGCTCAAAGTGAACTGAACCTTTTTGCAGAATAGGAGGTTTTCCCCTCCACTTCTAAGTAGTTTTCCTAGCTTACCTTCTGTCTGTCTGTCCTCAACGTCATGTGCAAACTTAAACCCACGACTGATATTCCACATAATGGAGAGACTGGATTTATGAAAGCATTAGAATATGGAGACGTGACAAACGCAGTAATGTTTGAAAGAAATCTGACTTTCTTCTTACCCAAGTGGAAGTGAAATGCATGCATCATGACCACATACAACATGCTAGGAACAGAAAACCAAGTGCCCTTCAACGAATCAAGCAAAGGAAAATAAAAACCATTTATCCAATCCCCATTAGCCCCCCAATTTTTTTCAGAAAAACAGACCATGCAATTAGCAATGACTGCTCCACATGCAGTTATTCTGATTAAACTTGAAAACTATTGTGTAACTTCAAACTACTATTACCAGGCAAGAGTTTGAATACACAGACCAACAAGACATAACAATGCTTGAAATGGTTAAAGTTTTGACCAGAGCTGCAGCAAATTTGTTTCCCTTTCAGTGAACTGTCAAGAAAGATTGCCAGGGACAGACTGTCTGCCCAGAGAAAGTTGTCTGTTCACTATAACCTTGAATGTGCCTATTTGGCTCTCAGCGATGAACCGCATCAATAGTGGTACAAAATTATCAATCACAGTGTGGTGCCTTTGAAAGACCAGACAGCACTTGGGGGGAAGTGTTTTTGTTTTGTTTTTTTGTTTGTAAATACTGGGGCCTATGTTTCAAAAGAATCTGGGACAGCAGATTTTTTTGGCGTTTCCTTTCTTGGCTGGGCTAAAGAAAGCCAGGACTCCATTCCCCAACCTGTCCCACTTCTCTCTGCTCCAACCACTTGGGTAATACAAAAGAAAAAGAGGATGGCATTGGCAGCAAGCGCTGACATCTCCCATCTCAGTTTTTAAAAAGTGGGAAATAGTGAGACAGAATTAACCATAAGGAAGTTCAAAGGAATAAGTAAATGTGACCCAGATATCCTCAGAAAGGGTGTAAATTTATCTCCATGGCTCTGGCTGCCTCCTTCCCACACCAGCATCAACACAGTTAACTGATTTAGAGTGAGAAGAATCAACTTGCTTTACCTAGCAAAGGCTGAGGATCAAATAGCCTTCACTAAGCTGAACCCAACAATTTCATTAAAAATGTAAACAACTGAAATAGTTGATAAACCAATAGAGCTATTTTCATCATCTTCAAGACCTGCTCAGCTTGACCACTGGTCACCTAAAGGCTAATTAACCAATGAGTTTGCAGGTGGTTGGCTGGCTAACCATTTACATAGAGACTGAGCCACTATCTCTATGGAACTGTCCAGCAAAAAGGTTACCTAAAACACAGCAAGGACTAAAGATGCTAAAAGGATCCATTCAACAAATATTTATTGAGTCCCCTACAACATGCCAGACACTATTTTAGGGCTGGGTCACAGTAGTATAACTGGGGACAAAGCCTTACTCCTAATGAGCTTACTTTCTACTAATATGGATAATTCACATTTCCTTATAGGGCTTGAAATAGTTTGCTTTAAAAAACGAAGCAAATTGGCCAGGTGCAGTGGCTCACGCCTGTAATCCCAGCACCTTGGGAGGCCGAGGCAGGTGGATCACCTGAGGTAAGGAGTTACTGACAAGCCTGACCAACATGGAGAAACCCCATCTCTACTAAAAATACAAAAAAATTAGCTGGGCATGGTGGCACATGACTGTAATCCCAGCTACTCGAGAGGCTGAGGCAGGAGAATTGCTTGAACCTGGGAGGCGGAGGTTGTGGTGAGCCGAGAGCACGCCATTGCACTCCAGCCTGGGCAACAAGAGTGAAACTCCGTCTTAAAAAAAAGAAAAAGAAGCAAATTTATCCTCAGGTGCTTGATGTCCTTCAAAAACAAATCCAGGAAGTCTGAAATCTAAAGACATCTCCACGCCCACACCTTCTTTTTCAAAAAGTGTCCTACAAAATATTAAGAGGCCTCTTGAGAAATTCCAAAAGGGCCATACGCAGTTAACCACTAGGATTCTTCTCAAATATAATTATGAAATGTTTAAAAAATTGTGATTTTTTTGTTTTACATAATTTTTCCTCATATGGCAATAATTTGAGTTCAAGTCTTATCATCATTACAACATTATACATTCTTTTTGCTGTCCTCCAGTGCCTAATTTATGGCTTTATAGATAATAGGCATTCAATAAATACTGGATGAATAATCAAAATATAGGATCTCACAGGAATGAGACAGGCGCACTCAACTGAATCTTACAAGGCACACAATAAGTACTTAAATATACTAGAACATAAAGCCATTCACAAGATTATTGACCCTTGTTGATTCAAACTAACATTTTGATGGGGAATAATCCAGCACATTCACTCAGATGTGGGAAACACCAGCTTTCCATGAGAATGCATCATGTCCTCTAGGTACATCTGAATTTCTAATAATTTGAATCATTTTCACTGAGTCAATTAATAAACTTGTGCAATTGCCTCTTGATGGGTGGTTTCCCTCCCTAATTTGTTTCAGAGTCCTTGTTCACCCATGTATGTATCTTACAAAGAGAGGACAAGAAAAAGCCTGTGCTAGTCCACTAGAATTCTGGACCTATGTTACAATCCAGTAAAGAGAATTGTTTCTATGACACCCTTAGTTGCCCAGCAAGAGCCACAGTATGTATTTGTAATGACCCAGAAGTAATATAGGAAGAAATTAGTGATTAAATGTGACCTTGTCAACAGAAGTCAAAAAGCTACCAGAGATCTCTGGCTGGGTTCAGCTTGTCCTCAGCTGCTGTGTGGAATCATTTTAGAAACCAACCCCCAGAGTTGATTCTGCTCACCTGCCAGGGTTTCTCCAAGTTTGCTTTACTCTGGTCATGACACTCTGACTTTGACAATGTCAAATTAGTTACAATGAAGGCTAGACAGAGCCCATCAAGCTTGAAGAATTAGCACCCAACAGCTTGGAGGAGAGCCCAGAACATCCATGCTGCAGAAAGATGGCACAGCCAGGCATTGTCTGAGATGTAGTGTTTTTAAAAAGACATTTCTGGATAATTGTCCTGAAGGATAGCTGTTCTTTACTTGAAATTGTTTACCCACTTTTGGAGCAAGGTACTCTCAGGTCAAAATTCACCTTTCCCACACAAATAAGAAAAAGATAGTTGTGTAAAGTTAAGTTGGCACATTTTTGACCAATATATGATATATAGCAAGGAGGACTACTTGTGCTAGGTACATCAGATGATGCTGGGGATTTCTCTTGATGTTTAATTTGAGGAATAAAATATTTGAAAATCAGTAGCCACAAATTCTTTTTTTTTTTTTTTTTTGAGATGGAGTCTTGTTCTGTCGCCCAGGCTGGAGTGCGGTGGCGCAATCTCGGCTCAATGCAAGCTCTGCCTCCCGGGTTCACGCCATTCTCCCACCTCAGCCTCCTGACTAGCAGGAGGGCGCCCGCCACCACACCTGGCTAATTTTTTGTATTTTTAGTAGAGACAGGGTTTCACCTTGTTAGCCAGGATGGTCTTGATCTCCTGACCTCGTGATCTGCCCGCCTCGGCCTAGTAACCACAAATTCTTGGGCGAAATATTCAAGACAACTGGTCAAATTAGTTAAATGGGGTAGATAGGGGAACCCGAATGGTTGTTTCACATCACATGGACGAAATAAGCAACTGATTGACTCTTTCTCCATCAGACTTGTTGATTTCCTGCCATGTTAGACACAGAATTAGATGATCTGGGACTCACAGAAGCTTGGGTTACATGATTCTTTAGGAAAATAAATGTGACAATAATACATGCAGGGCTTTACGGTTTTTTTTTTTTTAAAGAAATCAAGCATGCACTACTATATACAAGTCTCGATATCCATGAATGGGAAATGTACCTTGCATTCATCTACTATGACAGAGTTGTGTGCAGCATAGACACATTGATTAGAGTTGCTTTCCCTGTGGTTCTTCATGTCATCATAAATGGATTGAGTCTTGGTCATTTCAATATCTTCATGCACTCGATGCTGGGAGTCAATGGTATCCAGCTCAGACTTGGAGAGGTGATAGACTATCCCAGCCCCAAAAGAGTCACCCACAACATTGACTGAAGTTCTCATCCTGTCCCTGGGGACAAAGAACAGAAAAGGTTCAGTGAGGAAGCAGTATTATGTGGTAGTTGAGAGGTCAAGGTCTGGAGTCAGAGAGACATAGGGTTGAGTACTGGCTCTACCTTTTCCCTCTGCCTGATTTGGGGCAAGTTACTTAACTTTCATGAGCCTTGACTTCCTTGTTTGTCAGTTGGAGGTGATGCTTATACTTCTCTCATAGGCCGTGTGAAAATTCAGTGAGATAACGTATGTAAAGTGCTTAGTAAAATGTCTGGCAAATGGTAAACACCAATAACCAGTAGCAAAGGAAAAGGAGGAGGAGGAAAGAAAAGATTAAAGAAAAATAATGTGTCCAAATCAGAACTAGTACACAGGCTCCAGACACACCTAGCTGAGTACAGCAACCCCTCCTGATTTAAACTGTTGTGTTTTTGAAGACTCTACACTATCTCTGCTTATCTTACTTATTTGTTTTACTGAAAAACTTACCATCTGTGAACTTTCTCATAGTAGAAAAGTCATTCTTTTTGTAAGAATAGGAACTAACCCTTCCTTTCTCCCTGCACCTGCTTCCCTCACACACAGACGCAGCTGTTAGATAAGAAATCCAGCCATAATTTTCTCATTGACCAATATGTGTTATGACTACTTGTCCTGAAAAAAACAAAATACTTTATCTTGCTCTATTAACCTAAAAAAATAAATCTTCCAGAATGTTTCTGGAATCAGGAAATGTTAAGAAAATCCTTCTCCCCGTCTTGAGTTGCAAGTTTTGACTTGAAAAAAGAATGGTTGATAACTCTCTTAGAAATTCAGTGCCAGGAAAGCTAATTAAATTCTTAAGAGTAAGTTTTCTCCTCTCATCCATAAGTTCAAGCCAAATCAGTGTGAAGAATACTTTTGGCCATGTTTACTAGATATTCAAAGTCTTAAAAGGAAGGATGCTGGAAAACCACAAAAAAAAGTTAAAAAAATTAAAATGAAGGAGTTTACATAAAGATGCTGCTGAGACAGTCTTAGTCCAGGACATTTTAGCTTTCAATTCAAATAATATGAGTTCCAGGCAAAGCGGAAACTTTAATTTGTTCTTGGAACAAAGACTCTAAATGAATTCTAGTTGCTATTATCAAATCTATTTCTTATTAGAGAATAATAAGGAAGCTGCACTAGGAAAAGTCGGGCCTGGCTCCTTTGCAAGGCCAGTTGTTTGCAAGGTATAAGCTGGTGGTCTTTCTAATTTCAACTAAGAAGAAAATGTGGAAAAAAATATGATCAGAGCTGGAGTTTAACTCTCAGGGGCATCTCTCCATCTGAGAATGCTCTTGCGCCTCTTCTGCTTTGGAGAATCTGCCTCAGTGTGATCGGGTCTACATCTGAGTGAAGACTGCGTCTTGAGGTCATCCACAAAATCGGGCACTTGGAATAATTGCTAAGAAGCCCCAGTACGTGGGTTTAGGAAGGAATACATGATAGTAGTTAAGAAAAAGCACGAACTTTAGAGGCAGCCTGATTTGGATTCAAATGCCAATTTGTCCCTTGGCTGTTTGACAACCCTGATCATACTTGACATTTGAGAGCCTTAGTTGCCTCGTTTATAAAATGAAAATAATAAAAATCTCCAATACATAAGGTTGTTGTGAAGATTAAATAAGATAACAAAGTGCTTACATGCTTCCGGACATTTAATAAGAACTCAAAAAAATTATTTATTCTATGATGTATAATTTTAATATTATTATAAATTGTATCAAGTCAATTCAAATATATTTGTGGCAACTTCTAGGTAGATCATCCAAATATGGCTAGTTAAGCTACTATCTCCCCCTGAAAACATTAACCCTATTTAATAGCACAACAATTCCTATGGCAACGCTCCCAACTAACTAGCTGACCTATTTGTCCGTTATACAGTTGTGGTCTACTTTGGAGCTACTCCACTATACTTTCAATCCCTCCTGGAATGTATCCTGAGTCATATATCTGTGAAAGGAAAGTAAAATCTCCAGCCCCCAATTTACTATGTCAAATGGGGAAAAAAAAAAAAGCTGAAAGTTGAATCATGCAAGAAACTGCCTCTCCTTCTGTTCCTAAGCAGATAGCTAATAGTTAAATATCTCCACAGGTAGCTACTCTATATTCACCTTATCTTATGTAAAGTGCTGATTTACTGAGCACAAGATAAATACATAATTGTCTATTGCCCTACCAGCTTCTTTTCCCTGGCAACATGTGGATTCAGTAAAGTGACCAGACTCTCCCTCTTTTCCCTCCAGTCTGCATTTCCCCTTTAAATATGGAAGCCCTCAAAATCATCTTTGGAGAAAAGTACAGGCTACAGACTGTTTCTGTGATTCCATGTTTTTTTCTTCTGGGCATGTCTTTAACCTTGGAAAAATAAACTTCTAAATTGATTGAGACCTGACTCAGATACTTTTTAGTTTACATATACAATACCTTTGACCAATTGCAAAATTCCAAAGAATGCTGAGGTCTTTCAGAGCAATACTCTGAGTACCCATTGATCTCATAACCCAGAATAATTTGCATTATTGGCAAAGAAAGACACCAAAGGTAATGGTGGTGGTGGTAGTGATAATGATGATGACAGTTAAATTTATATCACACTTACTATGTATAAGAATATAGTTTATAGGCTGGGCATGGCGGCTCATGCCTGTAATCGCAGCACTTTGGGAGGCTGAGGTGGGCGGATCACCTGAGGTCAGGCATTTGAGACCAGCCTGGTTAACAATACAGTACTAAAAATACAAAATTAGCCGGGCATGGTGGTGTGCACCTATAATCCCAGATACTCAGGAGGCTGGGATGGGAGAATCACTTGAACTGGGGAGGCAGAGGTTGCAGTGAGCCGAGATGGTGCCACTACACTCCAGTCTGGGCAAGAGCAAGACTCTGCCTCAAAAAAAAAAAAAGAAAGAAAGAAAAGAAAACAAAGAATATACTTTATAGATACTACCTTATTAACCCTCACTGTAACTCTGAAGAGGTAATATTATTCGTATTTACTAGATGACAGAACTAAGGCCTGGAGAGATTAGTGGCTTCCCAAAGTCTGACATCCTAGTAAAGTCATACAGCAAATGTGAACACAGGCGGTACCATTCCAGAATCCACCATCTGCCACATGTTGAGAAGCACCCTGGAACCACACAGCCCTGATTTTGAATCTAGCTCAGCCACCTACTAACTGTGTGATCTGGATGACTTACTGCTGTGATCTGAACGTTTGCATCCCCCCAAAATTCATATGACGAAACCTAATCATCTCCAAGGTGATGGTATTTGGAGATGGGACCATTGGGAGGTGATTAGGTCACAAGGGTGGAGCCTTCATGAATGGGATCAGTGACCTCAGAAAAGAGGCCCAATAGAGACTCCTTGGCCCTTCTACCATGTGAGGCAGAGTGAAAAGATAGCTGTCTATGAGGAAGCAGGCCCTCACCAGACACAGAATCTCCCAGTGCCTTGATCTTGGACTTTCAAGCCTCCACAGAACTGTAAGAAATAAATTTTTGCTGTTTATACGCCACCTACCTGGTCTATAGTATTTTGTTATAGCAGTCTGAATGGACTAAGACACTTTCTCAACCATAATTTTTCTCATGTAGCCAAAATAACTATTAATATTTTGTAGAATTTGGGGAAGACAAATTCAGTTCCTAGCCTATGGTTGACACTCATTATGTGCTGGGTCCTACCGTTTTTGGGGATAACTCCACTCACACACCATGTTATGAACAAAAGCACAAAATATTATGCTAAAGGGTTAATGACTTTTCCAGTTTAACACATCCATTTCCACTCAAGTGGTTGACATAAGTTTACAAACGACTGCTTCTTCAACCCTTGACACCAAATCCTTGCTCTCCAGAAGCAGCCACTGAAGCAGCCAAGTTTTTGGAATAGGATTTCTGAGTAAGTTTTCCCCACATTTTTTCTTTTTACCACCACATCTCTTCCATGCCATCAAATCTCCTTGAATTTGAAAAAGAACTCTGGCCAATGAAATAGCCATTAAGACAGGAATGGATGGAAGACAGAGTTGTATAGAATAAAAGCAGACTGGCCGGATGCAGTGGCTCACGCCTGCAATCCCAGCACTTTGGGAGGCTGAGGTGGGTGGATTACTTGAGGTCAGGAGTGCAAGACCACCCTGGTCTCTACTAAACCCAGTCTCTACTAAAAATACAAAAATTAGCCAGGCGTGGTGGTGCACGCCTGTAATCCCAGCTACTCGGGAGGCTGAGATAGGAGAATCGTTTGAGCCCGGTAGGCAGAGGCTGCAGTGAGTCAAGATTGTGCCATTGCACTCCAGCCTGGGCCATAGAGCAAGACTCTGTCTCAAAAATGAATGAAAGAATATTTTAAAATGAATTTTTAAAAAACAATAAAAGCAGATTGATGCTTTTATTCTTTTGATGCAAAATCAAGATGCAAAGGGCCCTGGACCTTGGGTGAGAACACTAACCCAGGGCTTCTGATTCCCATTTGAGCAAATAACTTTTCACCTGAGCAAGGGAATGAGGCTAATCCCAACCTCACAGGAGGTTGTACTAAGCGGAATAAGAGAAATACTAGACATCCTTTAAGTACTCATTGTAGGTTACAGGCATACATGAGCAAGAAAATGTTCCTTTTCTTACACCTGTTAATAGCTAAGTAGAAAGAAGAAAACATCAACTCTAATAGTTTGAGTTCTTTGTTAGTGAATTTATTTATTCAACAGATGTTTAATAAGCATCTTAGAGTGTGTAAGGGCACTATGCCAATTGCTTAGGCAGCAAAAATCCTTCTTAAACTCCCTTTTCCCCAAGAACCCACGTACTGTTTATTTGTCTACCTCCTCCACTAGAGTGAGATAAATGTTCAAAAAGAAATGAGTACAGAGTGCTACAGGGTCATGTAGGTAGAACACTATCACACTTGGGTCATAAGAAAAGCTTTAAGTAGAAGTGTCTTGAGTTGGGCCCTAAGGATAAGTCCAAGAAAATGAGATAGAGAGAGGAAAGAAATAATATGCATGAAATCTAAGAGGTAGGAACACTTAGATGAATTCAGGATGGCTAACAAGTATAGTGAGAGACGCAGAAAGTAAGAATTAACCAAATCATGTATGGCCTTATCAGCCAAGTTCAGGAGTTAGTCTTTATCTCAAGTGTAATGAAGAGCCATTGAAAGAAAAGATCATGTTTGTTCCATTGTGAAGAACGAACTAAAAAATCATAAGCCTGAAAGAGTGAAATCCAGTTAGTGAGGATATGATGGGTTTGGAGAAAGATGGATTTGAGCAAGACTCAGGAGACAGAATTATAGGACTTGAAGACTGATTGGTTATAGGGAATAAAAAAGAGTCAAAGATTCCTCTCAGGTTTCTGGTTTGGGCAACCAGTAGACAATGTAACCATATGTAGGGAGCATGGTCAGTTGGAGCGGGAAAGATTCTGGCTTTGGTTTGGACACGTTGAGGGTGAAGCATGTGACTCAGTTATGAGCAGATGCCCCACAGATGGCTGGTAATATAGACTGATGGTCAGGAGACACATCTGTGATGCAGGTGATAATAGGACTCATCCCATAGAGAAGGCTGAGGATGCCACCGAGGTGCTTAATTAACCCTTGGAGAGAATGCAGAGTGTAAAAAGCAGACAGTCTAGGCTGGAACACTAAGGTCAACCAACTTTTAATGAATGGGCAAGATAAGAGCCTGCAAAAGTTAAAGGAAACTAGAAGAGTTTGTCATTTTGTAAGTAAATGGAAGTATGCTTCAAAATAAGGGTATGGCAAACAACCCTAATTATTATCTAGGGATCAGGTGAGATGAGGGTAAGACGTTTCTCTGGGAGGCTGAGGTGGGTGGATCATGAGGTCAGGTGTTTGAGATCAGCCTGGCCAGCACGGTGAAACCCCATCTCTACTAAAAATGCAAAAAATTAGCCGGGTGTGGTGTCGTGCACCTGTAATCCCAGCTGCTCTGGAGGCTGAGGTGGGAGAATCGCTTGGGCCTGAGAGACGAAGGTTGCAGTGAGCCATGATAGCGCCACTGCACTCCAGCCTGGGCAACAGAGCGAGACTCCATCTTAAAAAAGAAGATTCTTTTGGTTTTAACAACAAAGAGGTCACTATTGGCCTGGCAAGAGCAGTTTCAATACAGAGGTAGTGATAGAAGCCAGCTCACTATAGGTAAAAAATGGAAAGTGAAGTGAAGAAATGGAGACATTATGTATAATCAGCTTATTCAAGATGATTGATTGAGAAAGGAAGGAGAGGAAATGGCAGATGGAAATGGAAAGGAGATCAAATTTGTGTTTTGTTTTAAGAGGTAGAATATTTGAACATGTTTAAATCAAAATGAGAAGAGGTTGGTGGGGAAGAAGTAACTGAAGATACAGAGAAGAGGGAATAATTGATGAAGTTAGGTTCCTAGAGAGATCAGAGAGGATGGAAGTCCAGAGTGGAGATAAAGGCCATTTCCTTTGGTGGAGGGACTGTATTCCATCAATACAGAAGGGAAGGAGTAAAAGGTAAGATTATGAAAATAGGTTTCTAAGTGAGAAGGCAGGACGTTAAAGGGGATCTGTTAAACAGAAAGCTGTCAATTTGGATTAAACTAGAATACAGAGCCCTCTCATGCCAGGTTTCTCTGCCACAAGGCATTCTGGGAAGATTCCCAGGATGCCCAGCCAGGAGGTAGGTCATGGCTGCTCTGCATGGGTCTTCCTTTCTGAAAATGCTGCAAGGCAGAACACCCTTGAGGCTGCCAGGGGAATGTCTGACCAACTCTGGGGAAGTTTAACTGGGGCCCAAGGCAGGACATGGGAGTTTGTGGTTCATGTGTGGAAAGTTTCTTCACAGGCAGAGTTTCATTTTCTCTCACAATCATCCCTCACCACTCAGGAAACCCTGTCTTTCGCGTTGCCCTCAAGAGCTTTAAGGCTTGGTAAAAGACAACTTTTAGAGTGTGTGACACCATCTTTGGGTCTGGACGCTGTGTGTCAGGACTGCAAGAAGGGGATGAAGATGAAAGCAGATCTTGCATTTCATGGGTTTTCTACAGATGACACGGCTATGCTTTAGAGGTCACCAGGAACCAAAAATGAGAGAGGGGCTTGACCGAGTTACTTCACACTGAGTCACTGGGTCTGGTTCACTGAAAGAAAAACAAGTACCAAGGTACTCTCTCTCATCTTCATCTCTCAGTCTAAATCCTCCAACAGGGAAATGTGAAATCGTCTGGAACTCCTGGTTCACAGAGAAGAACAGGGCTGAGGGAGCTGTCACCCACAATTCATCTGGTGTCTTGCATTGGATTGAACCATATGAAATTGCCATTTATTTCCATATAAAAAGGTCAAATATTGGCAATTTCATATGGTTCAACTTAATATTGATAGAAACAAAACATAGCACCTGCCTCTCAGGATGCATGGTGCGAAGGGACTGTCTTTAGGGGCAGGGTGTGGAAGAGGGGTCACTTGAGGCCCCAAACCCGAGGAAGGCTGGCACAGCTCTGGGCATTCAAGGGCTAAAGTCACATGGGGTTAGGGAAGAAAAGGAGATCCACGTAAGCATTGGCTAAGAGCGTGAAGTCCGGATACCAGCCTGGATGACACTCCCAGCTCAAGCATTAAAGATTTCTTAGCCTGTCCTGCTCAGCTTTCTCATTCGTAACATATGGAGAGGGATACTCACCTGCAAGCATGTTGAGAAGATAATAACTGCTAACATGTATTGAGTGCTTGTCAACCAAGAGGTCCTCCACCAAGGCTGTTTTATATAAAAGGCTTATATGACCCAGAAGAAGCTTCTCATTATATTACCATTTTTAGTCCAGGTGAAAAGGGGATCAGAGCATTTTCTCTTTTATTCCTCCCTACACCTTATCCATTTCTTTTTGCACCTAGGAGGCTCCATTGGGATTTCTTGACCCCATTACTAGACTATAAGCTCCTTGAGGACTGAGACTATGTTTCATTTACTTATGGCACAGGCTGGGCAGGGGAGAATGGGGAGGCTGGTATGTGGAAGGGGCAGGACCAGGATGGATTGTGAATTTAAGACTTGAAAGCAGATTAGCTCTAGAGACACAATTGGTTTTTGTTTAGTAAAACATCTGGTTAGATATTTTCGTGGTAAAAAGTCAGGATGCAGGCCATGATCTAGCAGGATGAGGAGAGAGGCACAGAGAGCTCAGATTACTTTACAGATGAAAAGGAGAGGGGTGTCCAGAGAGCTGGGGAAATATTCAAAGATGGAGAACAAGGAGTCCCAAGGGGAAATTCCCAGGGGTGGGGAATACTAAAAGATTTTTTAGAAAAGGAGATGCCTAACATTACATTTTTATTTTATGTCTGTGCTACCTGAAATTATTAACAGTGAAATAACACTTGAGATTCAACAGTCGATGAAGGGGAGACGACTTCTTTTTCATTTTATTACTCTTTTGAACTTTGTCCTTCCCTTTGCTATGAACATGCATTTATTTTGTGATATATCAAAAAATGATTTTGCTGCGCAGAACTATAGCCCTGCCCCATCCCGCCTTGATCTGCAATTATGCTGCCTCAAGTCAGAGAAACTTTGGTGAGAGAGGAAAGGACTTAGTGGAAAAGGGGCCACATTCCATGGGGAGGTTGATGTAGACCGGAGATAAGATGTAAAAAAGAGAATTCAGTGGAAGTGGGAAATCAAAGCAAAAGACTAAGATAGACATAAGCCCCTAAAATCTTCAAAGAAAAGGTTAACGTAGGAATTAGTTTTGTTTTCCACCAGCCATGAGTGGAGGGTCAGTTAGTTAAGTTTGTGTGTGTGTGTGTGTGCATGTGCATGTGTGTGTCTCAAATTTTTAAAACAGCAGAACTCAGATGAGCATGCTTGGAACACCCAAGGATATCTAGATCATCTGGGTTTGAACCCCAATTCAGCCAGTTAATATCCACTAAATTGGGATAAGTTACTTCTCTCTGAACCTGTTTTCTCAACTGTAAAACAATGATAATACTATTAGTTGCTTCATAATCTGCTGTGACTTTCAAACGAGCCCATGTAAAGTGCTTAGAACAATATCTAACACTTAAGGAGCACTCACTAAGTATTAGCTATTTGCATCCTGTATCTTTTCAATCTATTTTTTTGAAAGGATGCATCAACTGTCAAGAGTTAACTCAAAAAAAAGTAGAGGTGCTCATATACCCACAATCAGAAACTCCTGTTTTCCTTCTCCGTCTCTAGTTCATTGCTTCTGGAAGGGAGAGTCCCTGGAGATTGCATCATCAGAATCACCTGGGAACTTGCTAGAAATGTCAATTCTCCAGCCCCACCTCAGATATATCTCTGGGAGATTTTGGTGCATGCTCGAGTTTGAGAATGAATGCTCTATTCTCTCCAGAGAGGAATGCTGTTGGGAGGAGCTTCAGAGCCCTCCTGGAGGGTGGAGGCTCTTTGAGGTCTTCCTTCTAAGTGCCGTCTCAACTATATTCCCCAATTAGCACATGTGAGCCCAGAAAAGATCTCACTAGCAGAGTCTTATGTGAGAATTAGGCCATAGGTCCACTCGGATTTCACTTTATTTTGATTTTCCTTTTCCTACCTGTAGCCAGACACAGTTATTTATTACCTCTTCCTGGTATTGGCTCCCATTTACCACTCCATCCTGCCTCCTTCAGAGACACTGGGGTGTCAGCAAGGTCTCTTATAAATATCTGCCAAGGGCTCCTGACGCAAAGGGCTTCCTGGACCCAGGGGAAGGTTCTGGTTTTAAACAGTCCCACCCATCCAGTGCTCTGGGACTCGGCATTTTTCAGGGCTCCAGAATCTTGGTTTTCACCATGACATTTACAGAGCAGCTAAGCCTGCCTGTTGAAAACCATCCAGGGCTTAGAGGGCAGTAATGAGGCTGGCTGGTCTCCAGCAGTTGGCAAACACTGTGACACATTAAATGTCACTGTAGGCTTTGTTTGGTTTTAAATTGAAAAATTGCTAGAGTTATGAAAGCTTACAAACCTTGGCTAAAGAGGTGAAGTTTCCCCCTTTTCTTTTTCTCTGCTTTTCCTCCACAGACTACTTATCTAGGGAATGGCCAGTTGCACCCCATCTCATCTTAGCCCCCACCACCACTTACACACTAATGAGCACCCAATAGTCACAGAGCTCACAACCAAGAGCTAGTTTCCAGAACTCCTCTTGCTGGTGAGAAAGAATGTGCCACCATTACTAATTCAAAGCAGATCTGACCTAGCTACAAACAGCTACACACATTTTCCCAGGATCCTCTACCCTTCCTTTTTCTTTTCCTCTTAAAAGGAATGCTCGTGCTTATTTGTATACAAACATTCATCCCCAGCAGAATTCTACTCTAGGTCTTAAAACTAGAAGGGCACTCAAAGGCATTGAACCTAGACTCTTGCTTCCAACCTGATATGTTATTGCCCCATTTTACACATGATGTAGCTGAGGCTCAGAAAGTCACTTGCCCAAGGTCCTTTAGATAGTAAGTGCAGAGCTCAGACTGAGGGCTCCTGCCTCTTAGACTCTCTTTCCCTTGATCACACTCCTCCCTCCATTTGAGATCAGAGCCCCAGAACTGGACAACAGCTCTTCATTTGCTCCTTTCTTCCCAGCTCCAGCCTAGGATGGGGTTTTCTATTATATGATTTCATCAACATAGTTAATCCAAATGTATCATCCTTTTTAAAAAAAAAAAAAAATTCAGCCAACTCCCTTCTGCTGACACACTTCAGCCCTGGAGTTAGGACGCTCTGCTTTCCTTTGCAAGTGTAAGCATGTGAGCACCTGCATGGGGTGATCTGGGAGGGCCCAGCCCTCCTGTTTCATTTGCTAACATTTAGGTCAGAAGTAGGCAGGGTTTTGAATGTTTCATGAAGTGACTCACATCCAACAGGCTTGAAAACAAGTGACTGCCAAGGACCAGGACCTACAATGGCAGACCCACTGGGGCTGGAAGACTTGAATTCTAAGGGTGGCCAAGACCTTGATTGTACCCCATTTGTCCTCATTGAGCCTATTTGTTTTATTTTCATGCTGAGAGAAGAAAAAAATAGGTCAAAAATATTTCTCTGGTTAGCATGCAGAATCAGGTGTGTCTTAGTCTGTGCTGCTATAGCAAAATACTTGAGATTGGGTAATTTATATAGAACAGAAATTTATTTCCTCAGAATTCTGGAGGTTGGGAAATCCAAGATCAAGAAACTGGTATCTGGTAAGGGCCTTCTTTCTGCATCATGACATAGCAGAAGGCAGAAAGACAAAGAGAGGGCAAGAAGGGGCTGAATTCACCCTTTTATAATGCACCAACCCCACTCATGAGGGTGGAGCCTTCACGATATAATCACCTTTTAAAGGCCACACCTCTTAATATTGTTACAATGGCAATTAAACGTCAACATGAGTTTTGGACTGGACAAATATTCAAACCATAGCCCAGTGGGTGGCCCTAATAAGTGTGTCTTCTCCAACCGTTCCAACTCTGGGCCTCTCTGCTCCTCCTCCCCACTGTTAGAACACTTAGTACAAATTAGGAGGCTGTGTGGAGTTGGGTGAAGTGTCCTGACCTGGCCATACAAGCTCTGCTGTGCATCAGGCAAAAGACTCAACCCTTCTGATTCCCAGTTTTCTCATCTGGAAATACAGCATAGGGCACCTTAAGGATTAAATGGAGACAGATGTAAAGACATTGCAGTACCCACCAAATATCACCCCTTTTCCTCACTCCTGATCATATTAGTGCATTTTTTTCCACTCAAAGGCATTTGTATTATAATGGGGGGCAGCCTCTATAATAATATTTTTTAAAAAGATGAATTTCTAATGGTGGTTTAAAGCCTTGGAAATAAGCCCAAGAAAAAAATGAGGCAATATTGTCACAGCAGGCGAGGGACCCTCAATGACCACAAGCATTGAAAAGACTTGAGAGGCAAAGAGTCAAGGGTTTAAGTAAGCAACAAGTCATGGGGAAAGCCAGCAGAACTTAAATGGCTTCCTTCGTCTTTCTTTTCATGTGGATGGACCCAATTATCACACAGCAACTATGTGGTTAAGAGTAGCTCACATTTATTGAGCTGCTACTATTTGCTCTGTCTCTAGACCACTGCCAATGTCTTTATTTCCCTTTTGTCCCCCTTCCATCCATGGCCTACCCCATTCCTTTGTATCCTTCATCCCCTTCTCTCACAATCCTTCTCACCCATACACCACCATTGACTCTCAGCTGCCTTGTCTGAACAGATGTCATGAGAAAGGCTGTCCCTTGGGGCCAATATAGGACACAGAGAATAACCAAGCTAGCAGGTAGGGACGCCACTACCACCACCTGAGAGACTGGCAGAGACAGAGATGAGGCTATTTTGTTTGCTTGTCACCTTCCGCTAAAGGTATTTCCTGAGCATTTTCTGATGATGAAGGAGCCAATCAGGAAAATCTATGGCCTTCCTTGCAGCCCTCCCAAGTTGAACTGATTCTGTTCAGGGAGCCACTTCTTACTTCTGTTTTTTTTTGTTTTTTTTTTTTTTTTTTTTAGATGGAGTTTCACTCTTGTTGCCCAGGCTGGAGTGCAATGGCACGATCTCAGCTCACTGCAACCTCCGCCTCCCAGGTTCAAGTGATTCTCCTGCCTTAGCCTCCCAAGTAGCTGGGATTACGGGCATATGCCACCACACCTGGCTAATTATTTTTGCATTTTTGGTAGAGACGGGGTTTCTCCATGTTGTTCAGGCTGGTCTTGAACTCCCGACCTCAGGTGATCTGCCCGCTTCAGCCTCCCAAAGTGCTGGGCACTTCTTATTTCTAACCTAAGCCCTGTTGTCTGCACCAACAGCAGGCACATCTTATGGAGAAGTCAGGCTTCTTTCTAGCCTTCCCAGCTGTCCTTCCTCCCTTCGGCCACTTGCATTTTCCTCTCTTTGGAAGGGTGGGAGTGGGAAGCAGAAACAGACTCAAGTCCACAAAATGTGGCTTCTGAGGCTGGGCACAGTGGCTCACCCGTGTAATCTCAGCACTGTGGGAGGCTGAGGTGGGCCGATCACTTGAGGTCAGGAGTTTGAGACCAGCCTGACCAACATAGTGAAACCCTGTCTCTACTAAAAATACAAAAATTAGCCGGGTGTGGTGGCACATGCCTGTAGTCCCAGCTACTTAGGAGGCTGAGGCCGGAGAAATGCTTGAACCCAGGAGGCAGAGGTTGCAGTGAGCCAAGATCGCACCACTGCACTCCATCCTGGGCAACAGAGCAAGACTCCATCTGAAAAAAAAGAAAAATGTGGTTTCTGGCTCTTAAAATCAATGCCAATAAATGTCAGAAAATTTGCTACTGGCAAGTCAGGCAGTTTGAAAAATAAGTGTGGGCACTTTGGCCTTGGGACTCTGGGCCAGCACTTGTCACTCTGTGCCTCTGACATTGAAGACTGGCATTGCCGGAGGCCCTATCATTTAACTCCAGTGCTGGACAGGAGGCATCAGATTACATCTCACAGAACATCCAAGCCCAAGTGGGCACTTAGAGGGGATCCATTCCAACCCCCTTGTCGAAGACCATCTGGTTAGACTTTCCCACCTTTGTGAATGGGCAGTGAGTATTCTACATGAGGAAAATGTCCTTCACTGGGAAAGGTAGCTGAACTACCATACATGGTCAAGTTCAAGTTTCTCTGCATGGCCTTTGAGGATGTCCGTCTTGCTCACCTTTCACCACGCCCTGCCTCCAAGAGTACCAGACCACTTGTACATCCTCACACTGCTGGTAGCCTCAGTGCCTTTGTGCAGGCTGGCCTTGACTGGAATGTCCTGTCTCCCCGTCTCCCTACATACACCTGAGAAACTTTTACCTATTGGTTATGATTCAGCTCAGCTACCACTGCCTTTAGAAGCTTGAATGTGACCATAAACAAGAATTTGTCAGGCTCCAGAGGCAGCCTGACCTAGGGTCGAATATCTGTCCATTTCTAAGTCTCTTTACCTCTATAAACCTCAGTGTCCTCATCTATAAAGTGGGAATAATAACATTTAACTTTCAAGGTTGTTAAAGAGGAAGATGTAAAGTGCTCAGTCTAGTAGCTGGAACCTAGTGAACACTCAAATTCAGTAACCACTTTCATGTTTCTTGATATTCTCCGCTCTGTCCTTCCATTCTTGACTGGGATGAAGGCCTCTCTCTATCACTATGCTTTTATGTGTGTGCTGTGTTTTAATCACTTTACTGAAGCATAATTTACATACAACAAAACGTACCCATTTTAAGTGTGTGTTTTGAAGAGTTTTGACAAATGTAGACACCTGTGCATACCTGTGCATATGGAACATTTCTGTCACTCCCAAAGGTTTCCTTGTGTTCCTTCCCAGTTAATCTCTATCCCCCTATACCTGGCCCAAGAAACCACTAATCTCTTTCTTTTTTCTTTTTTTTTCTTAGGCAGAGTCGCACTCTGTCCCCTAGGCTAGAGGGCAGTGGCACAGTCTCAGCTCACTGCGACCTCCGCCTCCCGAGTTTAAGCAATTCTCCTGCCTCCGCCTCTTGAGTAGTTGGGATTATAGGCACATGCCACCACGCCCAGCTAATTTTTTGTATTTTTAGTAGAGATGGGGTCTCACCATGTTGGCCAGGCTGGTCTTGAACTCCTAACCTCAGATGATCCACCTGCCTCGGCCTCCACAAGTGCTGGGATTACAGGCATGAGCCACCGCACCCAGCCCCAACTGATCTCTTTCTATTGATATGTGGTACATCGTCTTTTCTTAGAGCTTCATATAAATGGAATCATACAGTACATACTCCTTTGTTTCTGGCTCTATTCATTCAATATAATGTTCTGAGATTCTTTGAATGCATCAGTAGCTGGTTCCTTATTACTGTACTTTTAACCTTGTGTCATAATCTCTCTGATTCCTCCACTAGACTGTGACGCCTTCAAATATTTCATCTTTTTCTTCTTTGGTTCTCAAATAGGTCCTCAGTAAATGTGAGCGGGAAGGAGGAAGGAAGAGTGAGGGAGTTGCCATGGGGATTAGCTAAGATCTTGGTTGCAACCTTGCCACCTGTGCATCCCTAGGAGGCAGTACTCACAGTCCCAGCAGAACCCCATCCACAGACACTTACAGCAGCCAGTCCACAGCCACCAGCAGGCTGATGTCCTCTGTTGGCAGGCCCACGGCTGTCAGAATGAGGAGCATGGTGACCAGCCCGGCACTGGGGATACTGGCCGCGCCGACGCTTGCCAGGGTGGCTGTGAGGCTATGAGAACAGAGAAGTTCAGGTCATGGAAATGGAAAGAATCTTAGCAAAACCAACCCTGGCAATTTTAAGCTCTAATTTTCCTGCAGCCATAAAATTCATCCCCCAACCCCCACCCCATACTCTCCACCAAGGAATAGAGAAATCTAAAGTACTAAGACCAAGGAATTAAGGATTAAGGCCTATTTGGGTACTGCTCAACTATGATGTAAGCTTATAAATTCATGGACTGGAGCCTTATTCCCATGATGCTATCCGGTTAGTCTAATATATCACAGGGCTCAAATAAGGCAAGCGTGGCTCTAAAAGCAGGCAAGGAAATATTAAAGATAAAAACAAATCACCCTTAATCCTCCCATGGGAACACAACTGCATTCATTTCTGCTTACGCTTTTATGTCTCTGTGAGCACCAGAGGCTTTTGGACTATGTGGCAAGGGTCTAAGAAGGCCATTGCCAAGGTTAACATGAGAACTCAGAATAGCAAATATCCAGACCCAACTGAGTTGGACATCAGGGAAACAAATCAACAGATTCCAAATGACACTAAGCGTCAGGCGCCTGGATGCCTCACCATGGGCTGGAAAATACATTATTCAGAAAGGGGATGCCAAGAAATGATAATGAAAGAAAGGAAGGCTTTCTTTCTGAAGCATCTCATCAGTTCTTTCCAAGCAATGCCAGGGCCACACCCAGCACCATTTTGAAGTTTGTCTCTGGGAGAGGGTTAATCTGGAGTTCAAGTGCCCTGTCCTGACACCAGGGAGTCTCTGTGGTCTGGCAAAGGGCAGTGACTCTTTTTCCTCTTTTCTAGATGCCATTTGTACAAAGCTGTCATATCAAAATGTCATATCAAAATATCCAAGAGTACTTTGGAAATATGGATTCCCAAGTTGTTTTTGTGGGTGCCAAAAGGTAAGGGGGACTGCTTTCTTTGTAGTTATAAAATACTAGAAATTTTATGAGCTGAGAGGCAGCCTCTCAAATTGTTTCAACTAAATCCAGGCCATCAGTTGACCAAGCACAGAATCCTGGGGTCTTATTGCTGAATATACCTAATCTTACGTTTGGAAGATTAAGGCCCCTGGAGAGCCTGTGGTTTGAGCTGTTTTTTCCCCTATTGCCATCATTCCCAGGTTTAGGCCCATCCTTGCATAGACACTTGCCCTGGGTGTGATCTACAGACCCCCCAACCACACCCTTCCCCTCCCCGTCCATGGTGTCAAGGCTCAGAGCACTCCAATTTCCTTGAATCCATCTGGGTCACAGGAGGTACAGTGTGGAGTGCTCAGCCGTGAAAGTTCTGCAGTTGAACAACCTGAGTTCAAATTCCAGCTCTGCCACTTAACCACATGACTACAGGCAACTTAACCTCCCTGTGCCTTGACTTCCTCATCTGTAAAAAGGAGATAGTAATGGTATCTCTCTCATGGGGTGGTCAGAAGCTTTCAGGAGCTAATAAATTAAAATGCACTTACAAGAGGCTGGGCACATTGCAACTCCCCCACCCCCACCATGCCCAGTGAATGTGAATTGTTTTTCTTATCAAGAAATCTGGACAGGACCAGGCTGCTTTGCAATGAAAACTTCCCTAAAGCCCTGAAAGCTGGAAGATGGGAATTCTCAACTGTTTCCCAAACAGACAGAACACCAGGGAAGGGGAACTCCCCAAGTTCCAACAGTCTTGACCTTGACTGTTTTATACACAGCATCAGTTGCTCTGAGTCACTCTTGCACATCCCTTTGCACTGTGGTTAACATTAACATTATCTGGTTATCCTTTGGTTGTGTGAGACAAAGTCTTAGAAAGATAATTCTTCCTGGAAGTTGCTTTCCCCTCTTGTCCCTAATAATACCCTCACCCTCCGGTAGGCACTGTCTCTGTGTGTGGAATTCTAAGCCCTGCAAGAGCTTCTTGGGCAGTGATTTTCCCTGCATCCCTCATTGCCTTCTGCTTTGCCTGGCCTTCCACTCCCCTGGCTCACTTCTCTAGGGTTCCTGGAAGCTGTTAAGATACTAGACACACAATATCAGAGCAGAACCTCACAGTAACCCTGCAAGGGACATATATGGTAACACCTGCTTTCACCGTGAGGAAAACACAGATAGGATGGGTGGAGAAACTTAGGTCACACAGCTTGAACATGGTCTGCTGGGATTTGAACACTGGTCTGCTTGATTTCAATGCCACACTTGTCCTTGATGGCCTTGATCCCTCCCTACACTGAAAATTCTATGAATTAATAAAAATGCTAAGAATTTCTAATCACTATTTTCCTACATGCAGTGAAAGGAGAGAAATGAAAATTTTACTTGGAAGCGCAGCCTGAAGATAGATTTGGCTATTTTCCTCCAAACAAACTGCAGGCATGAAGTATATACACCCGTGGTGGGTGCCCCAGAGGTAGCCCTTGTGGTGTCTACAATTTAGGAGGATTTGACTGAACCCACCCAGGGGCCAGAGATTTAAATGCATATGGTCAAACTCATCTTTTGTCAAGTGAAAATGCTCAGTAGTATCAGTTAATATAAAACAAACCCTGTGTAGATAAATTTATAGAATTTAAGCACAAATTCAATCACTCACTGGTCCATTCTCCCATCTGTAAGTTCCCATCTAATAGTGGGAACTTAATGGAAAATATGGTTACCATCAAGACCAAGAGTCGAGATACCAGAAATTACCTTTGCTTGGCAAAAGACTTGCTTAAGAAGCCCTTTTCATCTTTGAGTTTTAAAGCAAGGGAGGTTAGTAGTCTCGTGATATCTGTTAGGACATAATTTTGAAAGGCTTGATCTTCTGACCTGAAGTATATTTTCCATTGTCAGTAACATCATGGTACTCATGATGTCACAGCCACATTTTTCTTTAATATTCTAGGAGTATTGTGTATTTTATTAGACATCAATAATAATAATAGAAGCTAACATTTATTGACTGGTGCCTGGCTCATACTCATAAGAGACTATAAGCCAGGCACCATGTTCTCAGCCACCCTAGAATTTGTTATTGTTCCCATTACGCAGATGAGGAAACTGAGGCTCCCTTATAGTATATAATTCATAGGGTGGTTGTGAAGATTTTATTATATATATATATATATATATATAAATTATTATTTTGCAACCCAACAGTATAGTATAGTGGAGGCAGTGTGTGTAATGGTTAAAAACACAAACCCCAGAGTAAGGTGGCCTGGGTTCAAATCCCATTTCTGCCTGTTACAAACAGCATGATTCTGGCCCAGTTACCTCAACTTACTGTGCCTCATTTTCTCCATCTGTAAAATATAGAACCCAATATCTACTTTGTAGGGCTGTTTCTAGGATCACAAGTTAAATAAATGGAAGCATATGCCAGCATTTGGAAACTTAAATTATAGTTGTTCCTCTAGACGGCTGTGTGTGATCTATTCTCTGAGCCTCTGTTTCCTTATCTATGTATAAGGTGAGATAATTTAGCAAGAGAACCACTGGGAGACATTTCAGATGATACATTCTAGCTGATTAAATAAATGTGATTGTTATTTCATGTTTTCATATTGTGTGTGTGTGTGTGTGTGTGTGTATTAAACATGGTGAATTTTTTCTTTTCTCTATTTGCTGACTGAGTTGCTAAAGTGAACTCAGATGCATATGGGATATTCACTAAATCTTCTGGAATGGTTAGAAGGAGAGAGGAGAAAGCTGTGTTTTAACAAAAATGTCCTTGAGCTGGTTGAATACCTCAGAGCTAGATAGATCAAGCAAAGGCTCTGAAGTGGCCATTCCATGGCAATATCAGCCCCTAGAACACATAGAGGACATGATTAGAGCAAATTTCCAGCACTGCTACAGACACTGGGTGGTCCCTGAGCTTGGACTTTTAAAAAGCCTGAGCATGTAGAGACATCAGACCCAAATGAACACTGCCTCTTAGGAGAGATCTCCTAAAATGGCCTTAGCCCACTAAAGGCCTACCAGAGAATGGGCTGTTGAATAACATGAACCAAGCAGACACCAGATTATTACCAAAGTTTCTAATATAGAGATTGACAGTGCTGCCCGGGGTTTGAAGTGGGAGAAAGAGGCTAGTGCCTTAGCCTGAACCCAAAAACTATTGCCCCTTCTAATGCCCAATGGAAAAAGTCAATAAAAACACTATTCTAATGTCTTTTTTTGAGTCACAGTCAGAAAGAAGAAATGACCTGTGGTTGGAAGAGGTAAACTGTGGAATAGAAATTTGACTTGTGCCTCTGGCACCCATAGCCATGAGACCTAGGTTTGTCAGATAATTTCTTTGAGCCTCACATGCCTCCTCTGTAAAATGGGAATAATGACTATTCCTTCTCTTCAGGACTGCTGGTCATGTTCAAAGCAATGTATGGAAAGAGTCCGCCATCTCAGAGGAACCAAAGAGTGGAGTGATTATCATCATGGAGGATGAAAGTGTATTCCAGTGTCTACCTCATTCATTTCCTAAAGTGAATCACCCAGGCCTTGGCTGTTCTAATATCTGGAATTCTCTTTCTACTACAAGTACATCTGTCACACAGAATGTTACCCACTTACTCCCTATGTTTTCTGATCACATAGAATCTGAGAGGGGAAATAAAACTTATAAATTGTTGAGTCCAAGATTGACAAACTCCGTTGTCTTAAAGGGCTAAGCTGTGGTGACAGGTGCAGCAGGCCAGGCATAAGTAATAGGGAGCAGGGGAGACTGTGGGAAACTGAAGGGCAGCTGTCTCATAAGAGGATGAAATTCTAATCTTTTACAATATATTTCAAGGCAAACAAAGCAACACTCTGGGCTGGGAGTCCATCCATGAACTACCAACTTTTAGCCCCAAATTATGAATACCTTCCTTATTTATAGATGAGGAAATTGAGACTGAGAGTAGGGATATGACATAAGGCAGAAATTGGCTTCTGGCTTAATTGAAGCATTTAGATGGGTTGGGAGTGATAATATTAAAAAGATGATTGCAAAAAGCTTTATTTCATGCTGTAATGTCAATATAACATTGAATGGGCTGAAGACTGATATTTTCAATGACTTAACCTATAAGCAAGAAACAGAGTGTTGGCTTGGCTAGTAGGTGTGATCTTTAAGTTTATGGTGAGGCAATGCATTTTTAACAATCTCTTAGGAAAATGTTCTTTCTGAATTTTTAAAATGATGAATACATTTAAATAAAAATAGCTTTAGTAAAAACAAAACTATGTGCTATTTATTTGTAATAAAATCTTATATGTCATATTGAGGAATCTCTTCCAGTATTTTGTAATTTCTGCCATTACCCTCTGGTGATGGAATATTGAAGGGAGCATATTTCAGTGAAACAAAAATTGGATCCAGAGTCAGCTGATGTTGGCCTCAGTTACAGTCCTGCCAAATCATTACTGATGTTGGCCTCACTTACAGCCATGCTGTAGCCATGGACAAACTACCATGCCTCTTGGTGCCTGAGTTTCTTTGTCTATTAAATGGGCAAAGAAATTACCCTGCTTCCATCACAGGATTGCTAAAAATCAAATAATATCCAATTTCTAAAGCAAGTTGACATGTGCAATACAAACAGGAGGTATTAATAAGAGTCTTCTTTCTTGTCACAATCTTTTCCTTTTGAAGGCTGCCAATAGTTTCTCTTTTTTTATTACCTTCATTGTCTTCCACCAGCAGAAATGAAATTCAAGTGGCCTCTGTCACATGGAGTTAGTGTGGAGGGGAAACAGGGTAGAGGTTGTTTTGTGTTTTACCCCACCCTTCTCACCTTACAGTCACAATCTGTCCTCCATCCAGGACAACACCATTCATTTGGGCTATAAAGATGGCGGCTACCGCTTCATAAAGGGCTGTACCATCCATGTTAATGGTTGCTCCAACAGGAAGGACGAATCTAGTCACACGCTTATCAATCCCCAGATTTTCTTCCAGGCAACGAAAGGTGACAGGCAAAGTTCCAGCACTGAGAACAAAGAGAAAGAGAGAGACAGGGTTATGTCCACTTTAGAGAAGCAGGACAATGCATAAACTGGAATGCCACTGCATCCTTAGTTTTTCTTGTTTTGTGTCAATCAAGCAATGTGACATGCAAAAAAGCAGTATCTGGAGCCAGATTAAAAACTCGTGAGTTGGAGGCTCAAATTCAATCTTATTAAGACACTAATAGGCAGCAAAATATTTTCATTGGTTCTGGTTTTGGAGATATACTCAGAGCTTGAAGATTTTTTCTTTTGGCCACTGTTTCCACCTTGGATTCGATATTGAAGTGCATCTGATTGCCCATATTAATTGGGTTGCAAAAAAAAAAAAACAAAAGCCAGCTATGTCAGAAAAGAATCAGCTATCAACAGCAAAATGGGATGAGGAATTTTTGAATAACCCATAATTTCATGCTAGAAATGCTGTTTCCGATAAAATGACTGAATGGATTGCATTTAGCCCTGGGAAATTGTCCTGAGCTGGACTTGCTAATTTCCATAACAACAAACATGTCCAGCACACTTCAGCATGAACCTGAGCTTCAAGCAATTCACTGGGGAACCTCACAGATAGTCCAACACCCTGATATATGCTCATCGGCCAATTCTACAGTCACTTCAATGACATGGAGCAGGAAAGCATGTGCTCATTAGCAAATCAAAGACTAAATATGAAGGGACTTCACCCCCACTCCTCCCAGGCCTGGGATGTGGATTCGTGACCACATGACCAAGCCTCGAAGGCCAGAATTCCTGACACGTTCATATGTCTTCAAAATTGGAGACCAATAAACAGTAAGGGTTGCTAAAGGCCAGAATATTATTTCCATGTGGATAGAAGTGCCTGGGAGGGTGAGTGGATTTGCTGCAAAGTTTAAGTAATGTAGAAAGCAATGCAGAACACTCAAACTGCCATGGAAGTGCTTCATGGTCCATCCTCTTGATTTTTTTCTATTCAAACTTTAGCAAAGTGAATTAGAAAACCTGCAATGCAGATAACATTTGGAGGTGTTTTCTCTCTTGCACTTACAGCTTTTGTCAAAGTTTCCTCCTTCTACTGGTCAGAATTAGTGACCAAACTGGACATAGATCCCTGTAGAGGTCTTAGTTTCTCAAAGAGTGGGAGAAGACCATCTGCTCCAGGGAAGCTAAATGAAATGAAGATTCCAGGGCCTATCCAGAACCAACGAATCAGAAGCCCTAAAACTAGGGATGCGAGATGTGCATCTTATCAAACCACTGGCCCACGAGCTCCTAAAACAACCTTAGGAGAGCCAGATTTCTCTTACCAGAACATTCTTTGTGATTTCAAGTCAGGGGTCTGTCTCATGCCTCCTTCTTGGTCTGGGGTAGGAAGAAGAATTGTTTGTTGGGGGACATCTCATAACTAAAATCTTGCAAACCCAGGGCAAAGTTGGAGCCTGGCCTCATTTGCATGCAGGGGATGGCATCAGACCTAGCTTGCTATCTTAATGAGAAGTCAGTGTCCCTTTCTTCCTCTTACCCCACCCTTTCCTGGGCCCTTTCGAAGGGTTGCCAGGACACCAGGACTGGTATGAGATGACTGCTCAGTTGTGGTTGGTGGCCAGGATTCTCGATTGCAAGCATTCTCAAATCTAAGGATACTTCTGGAATTGCTGGCATACATTTATGTTTATTATTGCATTCATTTTTCCAAAATGTCATCAAATGGTCTTTGGACAATTAAGTCGACTGGGAAAAATGATTGGTAAGTATAAAAATATCCTCTATTTCTCTACTGGACAGGCTTTTTGTCTTAAAAAACCCACCCACCCAATCAAACTAGGAATTGCTGGCATACATTTATGTTTATTATTGCATTTATTTTTCCAAAATGTCATCAAATGGTCTTTGGACAATTAAGTCGACTGGGAAAAATGATTGGTAAGTATAAAAATATCCTCTATTTCTCTACTGGACAGGCTTTTTGTCTTAAAAAACCCACCCACCCAATCAAACTAGGACTTGAGAATTTTAATTTCAAGCTTTCCTGTGTGGATGGGCTGACATGCTGACATTGCTTTTTTGGTTCCTGCCTCAATGGCCATATGACAGCCTTCAAATGTTGCTAATAATAACTGTCAGATATTTGAAATGCTTCTTTTGTTTTTTAAGTATTAGTTTTAACAGACTGCACTGAAGTTGGAGGGCTGAAGACAGGTCAGTCTCAGGCCACCCCACTCCCTCTGTCCTCCCTGACACCAGCCTCTGGAACCATTGAGAAAAGATGTTCAACTACCCTCAACGTCTTTATTCTGTACAAGGGCCGAGGAGGCAGGAAGGATATTTTGTGGGCTGTCCCTGGGTTTTACATTTTTTTTTTTCTTCTCTGTGACCATGATGGCAAAGAAACCTTCAGTTAATTCTCGGTACATGACTCACGCCACATGGCCTTTTAAAAAAAGAAATTCCACATCCAGGCAAAAACCACATTTTAACTAAAGATTAAAACCACTTTTTTTTTTTCAAATGAAATACAGAGTTAGGGGAAGAAATTGGTCTAATATTAGCAGCCTTGGTTGGATAATCTGAGCATTTGTCTCTGATTTAAATACAAATTTGGGCCATGCAAATCCCCTTAAGATTCACCTTGTCTTATAAAGTTACTGAAATAATGTTCTAGTCATTCAAAAGAAAATAATACTAATATTTTTGAAATAGTTGAAAGATCTAAACCATAAAGGTATTGGAAGAAAATAAAAAGTCATATTGTATTAACTTGGAGAAGCTATTCCTAAGCAAAATCTAAATTCTAAATTCTAAAGAAAAGTATTGATAGCTTTGACTAAGTACAAATTTAAAACTTCTAGAGGCAAAAAGCACAGTAAATTTTTAAGACAAATGTCAAGTGAAGAGGAGGATTATTTGCAACTTGTGACACATGAGCTAATATTCTTATACAAAAAGAGAGCTTGAAAATCAATCAGGAAGGGACGAATACCTCAACAGGAAAATGACCAAGTTCATGAACAATTCACAAGGCAGGCGAAAGGGGAGGGGAAGGAGAAGTAAAGATATGCATATCCCATGAGATTACTTTTCACCCAATAGGACTGGAAAGCATTAAAGTGACTGGCAATATCCAGAGCTGGTAAGCAAGCAGGGATGGGCACACCCTCAAACCCCAGTTAATGGGAACATAAAATAATACATTTTTCTGAATAGCAATCTGGTAATGTGCTTCAAAACTGTCAATGTGCATACCATTTGACTCTGAAATTCCACTTATCCTGAGGGGATCATCATACAACCTTGCAGAGATGTATTTGTAAGGATGTTTGTCACAGCCCTGTTTAATAGACATGCCTTAAATATACATCACTGTGGCTAGGACAGGGTGGGGTTTGCATTGTAGTACATACAGTGCATTATTATGCAGTTTAAAAAATGGTAGTAAAGTCTATTGCAATAGATACAACTTTTATGATACGTTGACCAGTAAAAAAATAACTATTTATAAAACAATATATACATACATAGTAAGAACTTGAAAGATATATAACTAAAGACTAATTAAAAGGTTATGACCAGTTATCACTGGGTGATAGAATAATTGGCAAAGCTCATTTTCTTCTTCAAAATTGTATTCACTGCCTGAACTTTTTCACATTGAGCCTGCAGAAATTTTATTTTATTTTTGTTTTCTGGTTATGAGCCTGGTATGAGATAAAGTATGAGATACCAGGCTTATAACCAGAAAACAAAAATAAAATTAAACCAGGTTGGGTTTTTTTTTTTTTCTCTTTTTCTTCAAGTGAAGATCTGTATGGATAGAGATACTTAGTCATGGAAAATTTATAAATCAAGAAGGAAATTTTGAAGTGTTTTCCTTCATCTTCGGAAACTGGGTAAAGAATCTAGACCCTTAAGATTGTATATATTCCAGCTTTGTCTGAAACTCCATTTTCTACTAGCACTGAATCCTCATTGATTTGCAAGATGGAAGTTTTATTTGGCTTCCCAGGTGGTTGGCATTATTGGTCTGTTAGGTCGCTTAAGGGAAACCTGACTGACTGCTCAGTAGCCGTGGAGCAACAGGCCCTGCTGCGTCATGCAGTGGCACCTCCCTAGCATTGCATGGGCACAGGTTCTGCAACAAGGACCTGAATGATGAGCTATGGGTTTCAGAATTTGCTTGCCTCCCTGCCACCTGTTTTATGATTCAGTCTTAGTTTTGTGACCCAAGGACATATGTGCAGAAATAAAACAATGATTGCAAGCTGAAAGTAAAACACTAGTCTTAAAAATTCTCAATTGTAAGGCATTTCTTTCTTTCTTTCTTTTTTTTTTTCAGATGGAGCCTCACTTTGTCACCCAGACTAGAGTGCAGTGATGCAATCTCAGCTCACTGCAACCTCTGCCTCCTAGGTTCAAGCAATTCTCCTGCCACAGACTACCGAATAGCTGGGATTATAGGCGCCCCCCACCGCACCTGGCTAATTTTTGTATTTTTAGTAGAGACAGGGTTTCACCATGTTAGCCAGGCTGGCCTCGAACTCCTGACTTCAAGTGATCCGCCTGCCGAGGCCTCCCAAAGTGCTGGGATTACAAGCATGAGCTACTGCGCCCAGCCTAATTGTAAGACGTTTCTTATGTATTTCTTCTTGTTCATTTTTTGGTTTGTTTTTGTTAGATTCAGTCCAAGATGATAGTCCAAAAAATGATTTTTCTCTACATATCTCTGGGGTCCTCTTTGGCTTTCTAGGTACTGGAACTAAGTAACAAAGGGGGAACTGATTCTTCATCAATGCCAAGTTAACTCTGGGGAAAAATAATCCATTAGAGGTTCGTGTCGAGGTCAAAGACTTGGCCGAATTTTGTTAGAAAAAGTCTCACCTAACATACCATTTACTTTGTAAAAGCTGCTTCTCCTACTTTTGAAAATGTATTTACCAAAATCTTCAAAGAGTAATATTTTGTGATAGCATTTTCCAAATCACAGGTGAAATGTTTATTGAAAAATATCCTGTTACACTCCCTTTAGAAAACATCTAAAACTAAACTAATGATTTAAGTGGCAAATTAGGCATGCAAACAAATAGCATGCATTTATCTGAAAAATTTAATGTGAGATCGTATTTCCAATATAGTTGCAAACCAGCAAAAATGTTCACCAGAAGGCTCAGAAGTTCCTAGAAGGAGACAAAAATTCAAATCATTCGCCTTTTCCAAAAGATCTTAGTAATGTGTGCCAAGTGTTCTTATTGAACTTTGTGATGGGAGGGTTTTGAGAAATGAGAAATGGCAAAGAGGGCAAAAGAGTGAGCAAAGAGAAAGGTGATTTCTTTTGTTCTCTACCTGGAAGCGGTGCCCAGGGCAGTGATCCAAGCTTGGAAAATGCCAGCAAAAAAGGAGAAGGGGTTTTTCCTGGTCACTACAAAGTAAATCAAGGGGAGAAAGATGCCCCCGTGGATGATGAGGCCTATGATCACTGTTACCATGTACATCCCCAGTTGCCTAGCAACCACTTCTAAGTCCTTGATTGCAATGATCTTTCCACAGATCAGGCAGGCGATACCCAGGGGAGAGTACCTGAAAAACACAAAAGGGAAAAACAGCATTGAAGAGATCATTAGGGATTCAGAACCTGGGCCTCCTCTGTACCGCACACTGAGGAAAACGCTTGGCTCTTCTGTACAAAAAAAGACTTTTGCTGAGAAAAGTTCATGTTATTTTTTACTTTGGACCACTTCCCTTAACCAAAATCTGTTTTGTGGATCTGGTGGCGCCTGCTCTGATGAAAAGTCCAAAGGCAAATTTTGTGGCTAAGGTGAGTTCTAGGAATAAAGGAGAGACATGCATTGCCATCTTTATCTTTACCATCAAGTTCAAAGTTGAGAGACCCAGGTGTGTCTCTGGGAATCTTGTTTGATTTGTGTTCCTCAGTTCCTTCCTAGAAATTTGGGAATTTGAGCTTTTTAGAAAACTATAAACTGGAATTTGTAAATTTGCATTGTTCTTACCTAGGAAGATAGGGAATATATTGAAATGAGAGAGAGACAGAGAGAGAGAGAGAGAGAACAAGGAAATCATCTGAGCCAAAATGTACATTTAGAGAAAAGTGGTTTTATGACTTCTAAGTCTGAAAGTCTTTTTTCCATACTTATTCTAACAATAATGCTGGCTACTTTCATTTTGTTTTAAGCACTATGGTGAGAGCTGCACACCCATTCCCTCACTTAATGCTTACCACAACCCGAAAATCTAGGTGTCATTATTGCAACGTGGCAAATAAAGAAACTGAGGTTAAGAAAAGCTAAATAATCAGCCCAAGACCAGGAAACCAGGAAATGAAAACAATCTCAGGTCTGTGAAACTCCCAACTGGGGGATTTTCCCAACCAAGACAAGCCACTTCTTTTTAGTGAATAATCACAGCTCTTTGTAGATAAGCAGTTTGTCGTATACCAATTTATCTTATATAAACTGATGTTATAGTTCTATCTTATTATTAATTTATAGAGAGTTTGGAAACTACTTTGGTCCTCACTCTTGGGAAAGCTATTTTCTCTCTCAACCTGAATATATTCTTCCCATATTTGGTAAAATCCTTTATTATCCAGAATGGTGTTGTTAGGGCATGAATTTGTTCAGCCTGTGACAGTTTCTGGCTGATATGAAAATATTTATGGGAAGGCTGCTACCTTATTAAAAATTATGAACATACTTGAGAGAAAGACTATGGGGAGAATGAAGTCCCTAGATAAGGCTTCCAGCAGGGGTCAGGGAGTCAGGAAAGGATGCTGTAATTGTAAGATCTATACAGACTTGCAATTGTGCCTGGAGCAAACACTTTCCTGGATTAAAGAAAAAATGTGAAGAGTAGATGAGACACATATATATGAATACTACATAAGACATGGAGCTCGTCTCACCACTTATTAGTTATTAATATGTGACCATGGTTAGTGGCTTATTCCCATTTTACAGATATGTATGTCAAGGCTCAGAGCGGCTAACTCCAACCTCATGGAGATGCTGTGGGGATTAAATTTTTGAGCATGCATATATGTGTGCTGCTAAAAACCCCTCTCGCATCTCTGTCAGTACCATTAATTCTCTGAGTCCCGACAAAGGCATTCCTTGTAGGTTCTGTTTTCACACATGTACCCCATGTCCTCTCATCACTCATGCTTAGTAAGCCTGAGTTAGTGATGCTTTCTAGAACATCTCATGGGATACCCAATTGCAAGATGATTTTATAGCAACATATTCTCTCAAGAGGAACCTAATCCTGAAGGAACTGATCTGTAACTGACACAAATTAGTTAAACTAACATTAGCATAGCTGCTCTCTTCCCATATGAGAATCTAGCCTGAAGGTCCTACTTTTCCTTTCCGTGGGGTGCAGGCTGGTCAAGTCTGAGGACTGCTTCCCTAGACATTAGGGAGTCTGAGACAAACCTGTGCTCATGTCATTAAACCCTTAGCTCTCCCGCCATTTTATATTCTGCTGGTGTGTCCATAGTCACATCTTATAAATTATCAAGGTAGTCTCAGGGACCAGCACTTCATTCATTGAGACTGTAAATAAGCAGAATGAACCTTCCTATAAAGCCAAAAAGCATTTATCTTCATAAAACAAGAGATCAATTCTTTCCCAAGCACCAAGCACCCTTTAAAGATGTCCAGAAAAATACAAATATAAGCTGTTTGGGGTGCCATTCAATTTTCCTTCTCTCCTGGGACGAGCAATTTGTAGAATGGAGAGAAAATGCTTTCAAGGCTCTTTGCCAAAAAAAGACTAGCTATAGAGTCTCCTGGAGAATGCATTTGGGCCACAGACAGATGGACTAGAGAGAGGTAACAGTTTACCTCTGGGGCACTTAGCCAGCTGAGAAAAGCATGAGCTCCCATTGTAAATGGAGAGTGTTAATCAAAGGCCAGAAAGTGAAGTGTTAGGGTTTATAAATATGGCAAGAAGAAGCCCTTGCTAATCCAAACACCTTGATCTCTGGGAATAGGATGAGCATTAAGTAGAAGAAGGTAAGAACGTTTGTTCTATGAAGTCTTTCAGGGCCATTACTTTCTTGTGCCTATTTTTATTTTATTTATTTTTTATTTTATTTTTATATTTTGAGACAGAGTCTTGCTCTGTTAGCCAGGCTGGAGCTCAGTGGCACCATCATTGCTTGCTGTAACCTTGACCTCCTGGGCTCAAGCAATCCTTTCACCTCAGCCTCCTGAGTAGCTAAGACTACAGGTGTTTGCCACCATTCTCAGCTAATTTTTGTTTATTTTTATTTTTGTAGGAGGTCTCACTATTTTGCTCAGCTGGTCTCAAATTCCTAGCCTCAAGCAAACCTCCCACATCAGCCTCCCAGAGCACTAGGATTATAGGTGTGGCCGACCAACTGCACCCATTTTTAAAACAAACAACTTAGGCCTTCACTCCGAAACTGGGACTTCTGGGTTCCTGGGTTTCCATATCAATGAATTACCTAATTGAAAATAACATTCCATGGAAAAGGATGGGCAAATGCCCAGCACCCAAGGCCACCACTCAAAGCTTCTGAGATGAAGCCAGCAATCAAAACCACAAATCAAAGTGCATAAAGAGGCTGAGGGCTCCACGGAGAGTTCTGAAGCCAAATAATGCCCAGTGATTGTTGGTCCATTTTCCACATGAGAAGGACATGGCTGGAGAGCCTGGGGAGAGGGAATGGCTCCCATGCTGTTCTTAGGCTGTTCCTGTTCTCTGTTTTCAGGGCCACAGATTCATCCAGGACTGGCCTGTGGAGTCTTTTTCTTACTACTGTATCCATTCTAGCCTCCACCTACTTTGTCTTTCAGCCCTTGCCAGCCTAAGATGCCCCTCACAGGGCTCCACAAACACACTCATCTACAGCAGGCAAGCTACCTAGAATTCAGTCGGTGTCCAGGTGCCAGAAACCACCAGCTTCCTGTTAACAATTCCCTGGCTTACCCTGGGCTTACCTGAGCTTACCTGGATTCCCTGGGCTTACCACATACCTATGGAGTCAGAATGTCCTGGAGCTGGCCTTGGGGCATTTATATTTTAAACAAGCTCCCCAGGTAATTCTGATCTGTTTGAAAACCAGTATTTCAAGAAACAAAAATCTTAACTGCAACTGATGAAACGCAGATATTACTTGGTGACCTTCTGGAAACCATTTACCTTAGCTCCAACTACTTCAGGATCTTTGAGGTCTTAACTCACTGGAATAATTCATTTGGGACTTTCAGGCCTGGGACAGATGATGAGACAGACACTTGGAGTGGAGGTAAGCTGAGGGACTTTCTCAGCCCTGCTGTGGAGCACCTCTGGTTCTGTCCCACACGTTTCCAATAGCTTGTCAATAGACCTAAACACACATTCCAAGAGTTGCTGAAAGGTGCTGTCTGTGCTCAGAAAGTATCACAAATCTTCATCTTTCCCAATCCATTTAGGGATAGGAGTTCCAGCTACCCAAAGAGTGATTTTTGTTAAAAGTTACCATTTGTGGATTAGAACTTTTCATCAAGACAGAGTGAAAAGCAGTTAGTATAGCCTCCAGGTTTATTATTCCTCCAGAGACTTCCTTTTGCAAGGAAATGAAATTCCAACCCATCAAGGTGGCCTGCAGGACCCTGGAGGATCTGCCTCCTGCCCACCTCTCCAACTTGACTTCCTTTTGCCCCCTTTCACCAACCACACTGCAGCCTCTCTAGACCTTTGTTCTGACCCTCAAAAGGCTTTCCCTGCCACTTCTTCCTCTTGGAATATTCTCCCCTCAGTTCTTCACCAGGTTGCTTGGCTCACTCTGCAGGTCTTCATTAAAGGTCACCTTTCCAGACAGCACCACGTGGGCCATCACTTCTACCCCCATCACTATCTCTCGCTATTGCACGGCACTTATTACTATTCGAATTAATAATAAGTGCTACAAAGACAATTTGCTACCATTTGCTCCCTTTTGGCTTTCCCTCTCTCCCTTTCCTAGAATGTAAGCTCCACAAGGGCCAGAACCTTTCTCTGTCTTATTCACCATTATCTCACCAGTACCTAAAATCATTGCCTGCACAGAATAGAATATTTATTGAATGAAAAAAAAAATGGATGGATTGACAAAGATTCTTTGTTTGACCAAACTTCAGTTAGGCGTCTGAACCTTCTTCTGGCCTCTTCTGGGCTCTTTGCTAAACCTTCCTTATAAAATCCGGTTTAGCAAAAAACTCATCTAAGTCAGGTTAGCAAGAACCTCCATCCTCAAAATCTGATCACCCTCAAATCTGATCAGGTTCTTCATCCTCTCCTGGACGATGTTTGGTCACCCTGTGGCCTTCAGCTAGAATCCTGTGGGGTTGGTTTAGCCAAAATACTCCTTACCCCCGAGCATCCACTGCCCCCACCTTGCTCCATGGCTATAAATTCCCACTTACCCATGTTGTACTTGCAAGTGAGCCCAATCTCTCTCCCCCACTCCAAAATCCCGTTGCTGTGGTCCCTGTGCTCATTGCAATGATCCTGAATAAAATCTGCCTTACTGTGTTTTAACACGTGTCATTGAATAGTTTTTTATTTAACAGTGTGGATGGATGGTGGTTTATTGGAAAAAGGAATTGGAAGAGTAGGCAGAGATTTTACTTCTCACTTTATGTTTTTATAGGGGTGAGATTATGAAACATTTTACTTTCTGTTTAAGTTTTTCAAATTTTGAAAAAAATGTTTTAAATAACTACCTAAGAAAATGAGGATACGAAAATCATACAAAAATTAAGGGGTTTTCAGGTTTCTTAAAGAATTCATGAACACAGAGATACAAAGGATATGGATTGAATTGATGATAATATTGGTAACAGCAAACAGCTATTACTATAATACTAATCCATGTAAAGTGCTTAGACAGTTCCCAGCACAAAGAAGGTGCTTCATGACTGTTGGTCACAGCCTTAATTCTCACAGCAACCTATGGCCTGGATTCTAGAATTATCCCATTTTACACACCAGAATATCGGGGCTTAGAGTGTCTAAATTGCCTAAAGTCACACAACTTGCAATAGGAGGATCCTGGATTCAATCCAGTCTGAAGTCAAAAAGAAATTGATGTAGGTATCACTTCCGTACAGCTCCATAACACTGGGCAAGTCAACCTCTGTGCTTAGTTTTCTCATTTGGTAAATGGGTTAACAAAAGCACCTATTTTTGTTCAGTACTATTGTGAAGAATAAATGAGCTAATGCATGTAAAACAATTGGAATAATATTAAGTATTTAGCAGGAATTTGGTAAATTTAAGTTATTTAATAATAATTGTTTCCTCAGTAATAAATGGGTTAGTACCTGTACTGTAACCGAAATAGTACTGAGCATACAGCAAGAAGTTAGTAATTCTAATTTATAATTTAATAATAAAAAGAATTATTATAATCTTTTCAATGTTACATTCTGCTATTATTACTATTATAACTGCTACATAGAAAAGAATACAAAAGAATTCTGATTTTTTTAAGCTTTGAGGGGTCAGTTAAAGAGTAGTTGACTGTTTTATCCAGAACCTTTTTACACACATCATTAGCAAATACTGATGCTGACGAGGCAGTGAAAGAATTAAAGAAATGTGTAGAATTGGCATCTCATGTCATGTGACATTGTCCTGACTATGAGCCTAGATGAGGTAACCAAACAGCTGTCAGAAATCATTCTAAGGTCTTATTCCTGCCTCACAACCACTTTTTACCTCCCAAGATGATAATAAGTATTTAGGAGTTCTGGTTTCAGTGAATGGGAAACTTCTTAATTCATACCACCACCCTCCATCTCTGGGGAGAAGGGAGGCTACACTTCATCCCACAGACTCATCTGATGTCCTAGAAGATTCCCTTTCCTGCAAGGGTTTAGTGGAAATCACATTGGTATGGACATAGGAAGGACACATACATTGCCCATGTTATTGGCATCATATTACAGAAATACGGGCTGCATGTTTGGCGTAAAGATGCGTAATCTGCTAGAAATTCTAGGAAACAATGGAAAATCCTAATGTTTAAGCAAGAGACTTATTCTGCATTGTGTACTAAAGTCTCAACAGACTCAGATGAATCTGAAGGACTTAAAAAATATGTTTTACATTTGGATGCGGTGGCTCATGCCTGTAATCCCAGTACTTTGGGAGGCCAAGGCAGGCGGATCATAAGGTCAGGAATTCAAGACCAGCCTGGCCAACATGGTGAAACCCTATCTCTACTAAAGATACAAAAAATTAGCCGGGCATGGTGGTGCACACCTGTAATCCCAGCTACTTGGAAGGCTGAGGCAGAAAAATCACTTGAACCCGGGAGGCGGAGGTTGCAGTGAGCTGAGATCGTGCCATTGCACTCCAGCCTGGCAACAGGGCGAGTCTTTGTCTCTCTCTCTCTCTCTCTCTGTGTGTGTGTGTGTGTGTATATATATATACATATATATATATATATTTTACAACACCACCATATTCCCAAATCTTCATACAACAGAAATATCCAGAAATCTAGCATTGCCTGAGAAGCTGAGGGTTCAGTACAATCATAAAAGAGAACATGATGTTATTTCACTAGCATCCTTTCTGTGTTTTAAAAGCACCGTAAAACAATGATCTGAACAAGCCAGGTCTGTTAAATATGGTTCATGAAATAGTGAGGAGCATCTTCTTGATCTGAAATCTTGGAGTTATCAGCTATCCCACTCGTTCCTAAAGTTTTAGTAACAATTGACTACAGGCACATCACCATGTTTGGTTCTGTGGAGATAAAAAAGAACAGATTTTTGCCCTTGTGAGGTGGGGTGGGAGACAAGAAAAGGAGGAAGAGAAAAAGCAGCTGGAATTTCCACGAAAGACACCTACAGAAAAGTGGAAAAGGATCAGAAGAAGTTTGGCAAAGAAGGTGGGTAGGCCTGGAACATGCAGAGATGGGGAATAGGTAACCCAGAATTCCTGTGGAAAAGAGAACACAGGTATGACTTGGTCTAAGAGTGGTTTTATTTTTTTCTAGGCAGACATACAGGACCATCCTAGAGATCTGAAACAAATGCAAGTAAAAAGCTTTCTGTCTGATGGATATGGGACACCAAAAGTTTCCAATGATTGAAGATGACAGAGCTTCCACAATGAGAGAATAGATACTCATGCTCTCCTAGGCTCCCCTAGATTTCAGAGTCACTGACTATAAACACATGTGAAATAAAGGGGAAACAATATTGCTTAGACGATCCAAACCAAAAAACCTACCTGCTTATGCATCAAGGGTTTTGATACCAATATGAACTACAGCTCTTCCTCTCCCTAGCTATAATCATCTTAGGCAAGTTAATTATTAGGTTGGTGCAAAAGTAACTGTGGTTTTTCCCATTGAAAGTAATGGCAAAAACTGCAATTCATAAGTTGAATTCATATGTCCCCCAAATTCTTATGTTGAAACTTAATTCCCAGGGCAGTGGTGTTAAGAGGTGAACCATCTGGGAGATGATTAGGTGATGAGGGCTGTGCCCTCTTCAATGGAATTAGTGCTCTTAATAAAAGATGCTCGAGGGAGCCTGTTTTCCCTTTCTACCATGTGAGAGCACACACAAAGGTGCCAACTACGAGGAATAGGCCCTCCACAGATACCAAATCTGCTAGTACCTTGATCTTGGACTTGCCAGCCTCCAGAAGGGTGAGCAATAAATTCCTATTGTTTATAAATTACCCAGTCTAAGGTATTTTGTTATAATAGATGGAAAGACAATGACTGTGTAAAAGAGACCCCAGAGAGCTTTCTGAATCTCTTTTCATGCTGAGCGAGGTGGCTCATGCCTATAATCCCAGCACTTTGGGAGGCCTAGGTGGGAAGATCACTTGAGCCCAGAAGTTTGAGATCAGCCTGGGTAATATAGTGAAATCCTCGTCTCTATAAAAAATTTTCAAAAATTAGCTGGGCATGGTAGTGTGCACCTGTAGTTCCAGCTACTTGAGGGGCTGAGGTGGGAGGATCACTTGAGCTACAGTGAGGGAGGCCGAGCCTGCGATGAGCCATGATCACACCACTGCACTCCAGTCTGGGTGATAGAGTCAGACCCTGTCTCAAAAAAATTACAATAGAATAAAATTCAAATAAAAATAAATAAATATCTTTCTAACTGTGGATACAATGAGAAGTTGGTCTGCAACCTGGAAAAGGCCCCTTATCAGACCCAACCATACTGGCACCCTGATCTTGAACTTCCAGCCTCCAGAACCATAAGAAAGAAATTTCTGTTGTTTCTAAGCCACTCAGTCTTTGGTATTTTGTTATGGCAACCCAACTAAGACAGTTACATAAAAATATACAACCCATTCTCAACTCGCTGGCCATATAAAAGAGAGAGTAGGTTAGATTTGGCCCAAGGGGCATAATTTGTCTACACTTGTTCTAGGGGAAGCTCCAAAAAAGATATTTTCATCCCTTTCTCAAAGTCTTTCTGGAAAGACATTTGATCAGCCCATGCCAACTTTTTCCTGCAGGGAGAGCTCCAGTATCCTCTGGGGACCCCAAGGCTTTCTCAACCCACTGCTAAGAAGTAAGAACAAGGCCACTTACCACATGATCATGATCACTAACTTCATTACAATCTCATTCAAAATGTTGAAGAAATCCACCATCAGCTTGGCCTGATCTCCCATCTTCCCCATAGCGATGCCAAAAGCAATGAAAAACCCTATCAGACCTGTTGGATGAATCACATTACATAGAAGGACAAATTACAAAAAATGTACTTTTTCTCCCTCATTCTTTACCATTCCCAATGTATGGAGCCATGTTCTCACTGCTGGTTACCCTATGAATTAGACATTAAAAGAACAAAGCATTATATTTGATACTGAATGTAACTTTCCCCTGGATAATTTTGGATTTCTTGAACACTTTCCACATGAGCAAGTTAAACTGTAAGCAGCATTAGGTCCTTGAAGAAAATGTATTCATTTTCATTCCAAACTAAAAGGTGCTCTCTTTTCCCTCCCCTCACTTATGAAATCATGTGTAAGCAGATTCCTTTATTACACAGATTAACGAGGAAAAGCCTGTTGGGACTTGGGGATTATCATACAAACTTTGGAGCCAATATTGGAATAGCAGAGGCCAATTAGCCAATAAATTCTTTGCTAGAGTTACATCTAGCTTGTTTTGGTATTATCCCAAATCAATGCATGGCTGGTATGTTTCACTCTTACAAAATCCTATATGTAAAATTATTTTTTATTACTACACACATAAAATGACAGGGAGAAAAAAATACTGAAAAATCAAAGGGAAAACAATAAGGAATCCGAAATTCCATTTTATCCAGTTTTTTTAAATGTAATCTGTTATTTATGAATTTGTCATAATTATTTTCATGATTGAAATGGTTAGAATGCTTTTTTAATTTTATTTATTTTTTCAGGATCATAAAGACAGAATATAGATTCACTGTCAGATTTTGCTAGTTCCTAGTCCCTCCACTCTTTTCTTCCTTTACTTGACATTCTTGACTTGTATCTAAGTCCAGCCTCACATCAGCCTTTGGGGTCAATCCTAACCCCAGGAAAGATTTAAGGAGCTTCATCTCTGCCCTCTTCATGTCAGCATCACATTGCACTAGGTCTTGGACCAACTCCAATACCCAACCATGAGTCTTACTTCTGTGTTGGCTTTACCTCATCCCCTGTGCCTGAGATCCTGGGAATCTGCCCTACACTTTAGTTCCTCCAAGGCTAGGCCTGGCTTTGCTCTTCCTACCACTCCTGTTGGTCCCTTCCATTCTCTCCCTCGGTACCTCACGCTCAGGCCTGCAGTCTCACTCCAACGCATCCAGGGACTGGGGCACATTGTGCGGCTTACAGGTGTTTCCAGTACTGCCTGGGGGCTATCTGGATTTCTAATTTCCAATCCCCATGTGCTCCCTGACCTCTGACCCCTGATCTAGTATTGCCATTCTTGAGGTCTCAGTTCTTACTACTTACATGTTCTATAAATCAGTGTTGCTATGTCCTTGGCTACAGGACTTTGCTTCCCCACCTGACTTGTTCTCTGACTCTGAAGTATGAGCCATCTTCTCTTTCCTCCTCTTCTCCACACCTAACCTGCTCAATTTGGCAGTCCTAATTTCCAGTCCCTCCCTATTATATCCAGTTTCCTATGGTGTCCAGTTATGCCTAAAGTCTTAACCCATACTCAGTAAATTTTAGCATTATAATTTGATTCTCTTATAACAAAATTCCTTCTCTCTGAACCTTTGACTTTACTCTTTCCCTAGTCATCTAACCCACTAACCTCTTTACACCAAGCACATATCAACCCAGATTGTCTAACTACCCTTTGCTGGATCCTTTCTATCTTCAGCAAAAAGAATCCATCACTTGCACTTGGGGTTACTAATACTTCACATTTAGTATCTCCTCTTTTTGCTCTCAGCTAGAAAGCTTGACAAATGACTTCACAAGTAAGTTATTGGTCTGGAAAGACAAAGGCTTAGGGAAGATTAGATCCAGGACAGAGGGAACTAGTTCCGCAGTAATGTACAAAATCAATTTCAGGCCATTCCCAAGTCCTTCTCTCAAGCCCATGGAGAGGAGTCTGCTACGTGGGAGGTCAAAGAGAATCAATCTGAATATTCTGGCTGAGAATAGCTCATATTACTTGGTTAATTTCATTTGAAATTAAGAGAAAATGCCCGAGGTATCAAGGTCCCAAAGAACTGGAATAAAAAAAGCTCCATTCAGTGTCAGCAGAAACTGGCCATATCTATGAGAGATAGGTTTTTAAAGGAACAGTTGGAGTTGATTTAAGCAGTTGGGAGAGGGTGGAGACCAGAATTGTTTCTGGAGGTTTTTTAGGAGAGAAATGGTTCCTTAAAGAAGTGGGAGGCAAGAGCTGGGGTTGTATCTTCACTTATTGCAAGTGCTTAATCCTCGGGACTTTCCAAAGCCAAAAAACAGAAAGACAGCAAAACAAACAAATAAAAAAGCCACTATCTCCACCCTCAGAAGACCGTGGAAAGAACCTTATTTCAGCCATGATTTGTAAATGGGAAGTTTCTCAACAGTCTAACTTCCCTTGGCTTTCCAGAGCCTTGATCTGCACTTGGATGGAAACCGTATTCAGCTTGTAATTTTTCTTTGTAAACATTGCCTAATTGAAATTGCTCACTGGAACGGGGGTGTTGCATCTGAACAAAACCCTCTTGGACTTGGCCGCTGGGGTTACAGAGTAGTGAGTTGTGTTGAAACTCCCCAGTAGAGCCAAAGGTCCTGTGACTTCCCAGAATCCACCAAGACTCTGGAAACAACCAGGAAAGTCTTTGAATGATTCACTCCAAAGCCCTGGCCCCATTGTTCATGGCCTCAAGCTCCTCCTGAGTATGGAGAAGACTGAGGAACACTTTGACAAAAGGGGGTTGGGTGTTTTAAGTTATGACCCACCAGAAAAGACCATGGGGGAGTTAGGAAGGACCTGAAAGGAACATAGATAGCTGGACAGTGAGGGAGAAGAGCTGCTCGGTGGTGGGTGCTGGGGATATTTGCAAAATCTCCCCAGAGGAACTCTCCTTCCTACTCCTCGCTCCTTCCACCTCTCACCTCCCACTGGTTGTTAAACAATGTTTATTGATCTTCCATTGCCCAGCAACCTAGTCAGCTCATCTCTTCCCTCACTCTCACTCATCCAACCTGCTTCCTGCCAAGCCAAACAAAAAAGATCTGCTTCTGCTTCTCAGTGACTGTGCAATTCTGCTCCCTCTCTCTCCTCTTTCTCTCTACCATTCTAGATGGCTAAGGAGTAGGCTTACCAAATTTGGAACAAACAAACAAACATGACACTCAATTACTTTTTGAATTTCAGGTAAAAAATGAATACTTTTTTTTTAGTATTATTATGTCCCATGCAATATTTGTGACTTACACTAAAAAACTATTTGCTTTTTATCTAAAATTCAAATTTATCCAGGCATTCTGTATTTTATCTGACAACCCAACTAAGGAGACAAGGCCATGTGATCTTTCAGATGACAACGTGAAAGGACTACTGAGCTCATTCATCTCTAAGTAGCTGTCATCCAAACCTTTAGAAATTGTGCTTGGATAAATAAACATACTTCATCCATCCAGATTCACCATTTCTCCCAGGTTTTGGCCAAATGCCCCTATTTCCTGTCTCGGGGACACCATTCTAGTGATGGATGGAGGTTACGGAAGGGAGTGGACCCACTGAGTGGGAGGGGAGCAAACTGGGCAGACTAGAGCCGCTCACATGGTAATAAACCTCTGTCCCTCATGGAGGTATTTTCTTACTGAACTCCTCAGCTCTCCACCCACTTTGAATAATGATCACAGCTCATACGGAGAGAGCACATGGCATGTGCTACTGTGCCCTATATGCACAATCACATTTCATCCTCACAGTAATCTACAAAATAGATGCCAATCCTATTTCCATTTTACAAATGAGGCTCAGAGAAATGGAGTAACTTGCCCAGGGTCAGATAACCAGTAAGTGGCCCATACTGGATCCAAACCCAGGTCTGCCCAACTGCAGAGCCCAAAAACCTCTAGGATGGCATGCTAAGAAGGTACTGGGCTAGGAGAAAGGGCTCACTGGGATCCCAGAAAGTAAAACAAGATAACAAGATAATCTGTAAAGCTCCCTTGGTACCTACTCCAACACTTTACAATCCTGGTAGCATTGCATTTGTTTGCAGACTAAGGGCTGTGGTGGTCCAGCCCCCGCACCTAGCACAGCACCAGTACATGGGGGCAGCTTTTAAAAAATGCTTAAGAAACGAAAGCAATGGATGTGTCACTTAATAACACAGAGAGTCAGAGAAAGTGACTTTCTAACACCACACAGAGAGTCAGGGAATGTGCCCAATGACGGTGAGCTCCCTCCTTTTTTCCCATACCCAGCTTCTTGCTGCCCTGTCCCCTTATGGTCTCCTCTGCCCTTCTCTCTCTTCCTTAAATCGCTCAGCTCTCAGTCCCAGTGACCCTCAAATTGCTCCCCAGAGAGAGCCTCCTGCTCCACCTAGAGGACAGCTGAGTCATCAGTTTTCTGAAAAGGGAGTGCAGGATAGCCCAGCCATTGCCAGGGAAGCAGAATCCCGGACCACCAGCTGGCCTACCTAAGACGTTCATCCCATCCTTGAACTCCAGGCCCTTCTTGATAACCATCTTAGTCTCCTCCGGCACCTCAGTCACAGTCTCGTTCAACAGAGAGACAACAGCGCTGGTTGCGTTGGCCTCCTCGTCCGGCGGTGGTGCAACCAGGACTTTCTTCGTCACTGTTTGAATCTAACAGAGTGAGGGAAAAAAGGCATAGAGCTGAGATTTGGCCTATAAGGTGAAAAAAAAAAAGATTGGCTACTCATATATTTTAAGGTTCCCAACAGGTTAACAATAATTAAGAAATGCCAAAACAAGGTTATGAAAACTGGAGAATATTTTATATGTCTATATTTACAAAGTGGTGTTTTATTATACACAGTGAGATACAATTGTCCTAATCACAGATAATTACACAATTTTTTATTTGTGCAAATTTATGGGGTACATGATAAATTTTTTAATGTATACAATGTGTGATGATCAAATCAGGGCATTTAAGGTGTCTAACATCTGAGTACAATGCATTTTTTAAGTACAGTCATCCAACTCTGCTATCAAACATTGAATGAATTCCTTCTATCTTTCTGTATGTTTGTACCCTTTAAGCTACTTCCCTTCGTCCTTCCCCTTTCCCCCCACTCACCCTTCCTAGCCTCTGTTATCTATTTTTCCACTATTTTTCCATGTGTTCAAATATTTTAGCTCCCACATATAAATGAGAAATGCAATATCTGTCTTTTTGTGCCTGGCTTATTTCACCTAAGATAACGACCGCCAGTCTTATCCATGTTGCTTCAAATGACACAATTTCATAAATATAGAATGTATGAAAATAATTTGCAAATGTACTATAAGTACTGTAGTCAATAATAGGACACAGGCTTAAACTTGGGGGATAAATGTCTTCTTTCACTCCTATGATTGTAGCTCAGAAACAGTATGAAATGTCTAACTTGGATGCTCTTCCCAATTGTGAGACCCAGTTAGATGGTCCTTCCAGTTGTGATGGTCCTTCCAGTTGTGATGGGCCCTGGATCTGGTTAAGAATAGGAAGCCTTGGCAGGGGTCAGATCAGCAACTCATGATCCACCTGTTTTCCCCTCTACCTGGTCCCCACTGGACAGGGGTATCACAGGCTGCCTCAGTTTGGGCTCCTTCTAGAGCCAGGCTCAGCTGGAAATCTCCATCTGGGCACCAAGAGTGCCAGCTGCCAGCAGCCACCATGGCAGGAGCATTTGCTTATATTTCAGATCCAAATTCAAGGTGGGAAGACAGCCACTCCTTCTGAGCAGTGATGCCAAGCCTTTCTCAATGTTCCCCAAGTGTCTCTGTCAGATGACTCACAAGGAACCTCTCCCGCTATTCCTCGACATCCATGGCAGTGGTCCTATTTTTAAAGGTGCCAGGCACCCTACATGCAGAGTGCTATAAAAATCCACATCTGAGCTTAAAAAACACCACCTCCAGGGGCATTAAAATAGAACTCAATGCAGAATCCTAGATTGTCAGTGCTGGCATGTAGTAGGTAACAGATGGCTGAACCCCGAATAGATACGGAAGAAGATGTACGGGAAAGTCAAGTGACTTGTTGGACGTCATGGAGTTATGGGCAGAACTGGGATGTCAACTCAGATGACCTCACCTCCATTGAGTTATTTCCACAGTCTGTGCTGTATGTTAAGCTATAGGGACCCAATCCTACTGTGCTGGTTCCCATAGGAAGCAATGCTGAACTGCCAGTTATTTAAAATGGATGGGAAGGGAGGTCAGTGTTCTCTGAGGTGAGGCAGGGTGCTCTCTGTTCTAGCCTGGCCACATGTACTCGTGCAGGGAGAGAGGAAGCCTAGGGCCTGCTGTGTGAGGGGAGAACAGGCAGCCCACTTCTCCCCTCAATGTGGCCCCTTCATCTGGGCAACATTGGTGTGAAGAGAATGCAGGGAGGATCACAAGAGAAGCTTATGTGAACAGCAGAGTCATGCTCCCAGGAAAGAAAAGGGAACCAAAGCCAACTGTCAACCTATCCTAAGGATGCTAAAGAAGCCTACGTTTGGTTTAAAAGAGAAATACTCATGGATCTAAATGAATGGTGGCTGTCAGGATCAGGCAGGAGGCCAGCTGCTACCTATTTTACATCCATTACGTCTTAGGTCAACAGTAGCCCTTCGACTCAAGGGCAGCTTGCTAGTTAGTTGCTGAAGCAGGATTCGAGATGAGTTATGTTTGACTCCAGAAATCCAGATTTCAAATAGCAAAGGCCAGTGATGTAAGTTGAAGCTGAGGAGATAGGAACACGAACGCAGGCCGAGTTCTCTGCCTGAGTTCCTGATTCACAGAAGCTGTTCGGTTGCACAACTCCATGTAAGTGCTGTTTTAGTCTGTTTTGTGCTGCTACGACAGAATACCTAAGACTGGATAATTTATGATAAACAGAAATTTATTTTTTCACCATTCTGGAGACTGGGAAGTACACAATGAAGATATCAGCATCGGGCAAGAGCCTTCTTGCTGCATCATTATATGGAGGAAGGTAGAAAGGCAAAGAGAGGCACAAAGGAGCCAAACTCATTCTTTTATAGCAGCATTAATCCCATCCATGAAAGCAGAGACCTCATGGCCTAATCACCTCCCAAAGGGTCCACTTATCAATATTGTTATAATGGCAACTAAATTTCAGCATGAATTTTGGAAGGGACAGACATCCAAAGCATAGCAGGTGCTAATTCCAGTCTCCCTGTCCCTAAGCCACCATCATGTCTCATCATAAAACCTGCAAAACCATAAACTGACCTACTCAACTTTCTTCTTGTCTGCATACAGTCTATAGGTAAGTGTGGCTACCTATAACCCTATCTATATCCTTAGCTTCCCCTGGCCCACCAAGTCATGCCTGAGCTGAGTTTACCTTCCTCCACTCACTATACCTCCACACTGGCCTCACACAGCCTCCTTTTTCTTTTCTGAACATTATAAGTACTTTTCAGCTTCTGCATATCTGTGCCTCTACTGAGAAGCTCCTTTCCCCAGCTCTTTGTAGGCCTAACTCATTCTGATCCCCTATCCTCTCAGCTGAAATATCTCCCCTAGTTACCACCAGCCTATCATCCTGCCTCTAGCCCTCAGAGAACACCTGTCTTAATGTTTAAGTCTCTTCTGTGTTTCCCTGATGTTTGTTTTGGTCTACCTCCCTCCCCTTTAATGTAAGTGAGCTCCTTGGGGCAGGGTCCTCATCTGTCTCCTCCCCCCGTGGCATCCTTGTACAAAGCAGAGAGCCTGGCAGCCCGTCCTGCTCACAAGTATTGGCCGAGTGAACATACACAGATCACGGAATTTTCTGGAGGAAAAGAACCCATGCGGTCTCTATTACTGGGCTGGATTTAACGTTGTAAGGTCATATCTTACAGCCAGTTACTGTCTTGGAAATCTCACTTTGGTTCAAAGTAAGCCCCAGAAAGCAAGCTGGAGACCTCTCTGCTCACAAAGACACAGGGACTTAACTTGGGCAAACCAGGCCCTGTCGCCTGGGAGGAGGCAGTCTCCACTCTGCGGGGAGCTCATCTTCCTCTTTACATTTCTGTTTCTAACTCTGGTCAAGGAGCCTCCTCCACTCAAGACAGGTTATTTTAAATGACTTCTAGCTGTACTCATGGACACAGAAGATGTCTCTCACGCACCCTTTCTCTCTGGAAATGCCACGTCCCTTTAAAAGAGTTTCCTGTCCTCAAGTCCTCTTCAGTGCCTTCCTTCCAGGCTTAAGGAATCTGTAACCATCCTCTCCCTGAGGTGGATTCTACACCATTCTTCCTCAGGTTGTCCTAATCCAAAGGGACCTTGATACTGAGCCTACTGAGGGACCAAGGCTCAGTCCTCATATGAATTTTGGCAATAGAAAGTTGGGGTCAGGGCTGGCGTGGGGCAGGGAATGGCTCAGGTCTCTATTCCAGAATGGCAGAGAGCAGCCTTTGCCATGGGCAGCTGCATGCAAAGACTGCCCATCCACCACAGCGCTCACCGAGTGTGAGTGTGGCCAGCTCCACAAAAGTTCACTCCAAGACCAGAGCAATAGCTCCAGGAGCCTGCCTGCTTCTTGGTCCTGCCTTCCTTTTTTCACAGAGCATGGCATGACCAGGCACAGAACTGTGTCCAAATCTGTCCTTCCCAGGCCCTCCTATGCTCCACTCTCCCCCAATCTACTACCAGCTCAGCCTCCTGCAGCTGCGATCCCAGAATGCTCTTTCCAAAATGTTAAGAATGGATAGCACCCAATCGTGTCTCTCACACTAAAGCAAGTCAGTTCATCTTTCTGAGCAGGCTGGCTGAGGGGCAAACACGCTATACAGATGGAGCCCACTAAGCACCTTCTTCTCCAGCTTATTTCTGTTTATTTCTGCATCCAACTTCCCTGGCGTGGAATGGTTTCCTTTAATATAGGTCCATGCTACATGTTCCACTAAAATAGTATCTGAAACCAGGGAACATATCCCAACCCAGAGTAATCTGGGCTCAGCAATGGTTAAGGACTACATTTTGGAGACAGCTAGGAATACATACTTTTCTTCTAAGCAAACTGTTTCCTAAGCTCATTCTTCTGTGCTTGGAAATGGCTGAAGTTTTAGCTTAGACTGCTTGGTTTTAGCTTAGTTTCTACCTGGGTTAATGGAAACCGGGGTGTGCGGGATGTGTTCTAGCCTATGCTGGCCTTGGGGCTAGAAAACAGGGTAGTGAATGGGGCCTACTCAGCTAACTCAGTGGTTCCACTCAACAGAATCACCTGTTTTAAAAAAATCTCAAGTTTAAAAAAATGTATAGGCATGTATGCAGCAAGCAAGAGTATACATTGCTAAGGAATCTGTACCCACTGCTACATACTTTTGTAGTGCCATTTTGCAACAGCCAGCAAACTCAAAATACAAAACTCCTTGTCCTGACAAGGACATTTTTACTTCTAGGAATTTATCCTTTAAAAATATTATGCAATCATGAAAAAAAGAAGAGATGACTTTAAAACATTGTTCAATGTTTTTCATTGTTCAAACATTGTTCTGTGAAAAAGTCAGATGTAACGTTTTATGAACAATGGAGTACCATTGGGTTAAATTCTTTTTTTTTGTTTTTTTGTTTTTTGTTTTTGAGACAGTATGTCACTCCGTCTCCCAGGCTGGAGTGCAGTGGCTCTGCTCACTGCAATCTCTGCCTCCCGGGCTCAAGCAATTCTCTTGCCTCGGCCTCCCGAGTAGCTGGGATTACAGGCATGCGCCACCACACCCGGCTAATTTTTGCATTTTTAGTAGAGATGGGGTTTCACCATGTTGGCCAGGCTGGTTTTGAATTCCTAACCTCAAATGATCCCCCTGCCTCGGCCTCTCGAAGTGCTGGGATTATAGGCATGAGCCACCACGCCCAGCCAGGGTTGAATTCTTTTAAAGATTATGCACACTTGCATAAGTGGCAAAAGAAAAATACAGGGGAGGAAACAGCATTCTCAACATAAGTAGCTCTAGAGAAGGGGAAGCAGAAGCTTCTAACTTTTACTTTGTGTACTTCTATACTTTCTAAAATTTTCATAATCTGCATGTATTACTTCCACAATTTAAAAAACTACCCAAGCTCCAGATTCATCTCTTGGAGATTCTGATTGTGTAGGGTATTTGTATTTTTTTAAAAGTGCCATTGGTGGTTTAGCTTTACTGCCACGTTTGAGAACCACTGTGTATTCTAGAAGGTTGTGGGCAAGGCTAATAAAAATATGCCCATGGACAACTCAAAGACACATTTCCCAGCCTCATGCACAAAAAGGAAAGGAAGAGATAGATATAAGGAGAGAGAGAGAGAGAGAGAGGGAGGGAGAGAGAGAGAGAGAGAGAGAGAGGCGGGGGGGGGGGGTGGGGGAGAAAGGAGGACAATCCCACAGCAAAAATATATTAAGTGAGCTGGAAAAAAAGGGATGTTTAAAAAAATTAAAACCAGGAGACTCCAATCCCAAGATCCTGCCCTAAACCACCTCATAGAATCCCTGGGCCTAGACAGAGATAATTATATATTTAGAAAATTTCTACCCAGAGTTGGTCTGTTAAAATACTCTTAAGTTATCGCCTTGATAACTTAGAGGACTGGAGAAGAGAGAACATCTGAACTCTGGGTTACCTGTTGAAAGCAGGCTTGGACAAGGTTTTCAGGGAAGAGATTTCGAATAAGGTCCAGGAAGGCATCCAGGCTGGACACTTCATCATTCTTCTTCCCAGGCCCCAGCTGCTTCTTGAGCTTGGGATTGCCTGGATGGATAGCCAAGACCAGAATGACCCCCAGTACTGCAGCAATGATGGTCGTGGACATGTAATACACCATGGCTCTCGTGCCCAAGCGGCCACTAGCCTTAGCATCCAGGCCTGACAACCCTGGATTGAAAAGAAATGCAGAAGGATTAATTCTATTACGTTTGTGCTAATGACCTGTGTCTACATTTCTATGACGTTAGCTTCATATTACTCAAATGTGTTAATGGTTGATTAAATCTCCTACTGTAGTCTTCCCTCAATATCCATGAGAGGGTTGGTTCTGGGACTCCCAACAGATACCAAAATCTGAGAGTGCCCAAGTTTCTTCTGTAAAATGGTGTAGTATTTGTATATAACCTATGCACATCCTCCTGTCTACTTTAAACCACCTCTAAATTATTTACAATACCTAATACAATGTAAATGCTATGTACATAACTGTTATACTATATTTTTAACTTGCATTATTTTGTATTTTTTATTAGTTTTTTTTCTCAAATATTTTCAATCTGCACATGTGGGACTCACAGATATGCAGGGCCGACTGTATTGAATATTTGATCAATCCCATAGTTTATCATTCTATTATCCAGGGAGATTTTCAAGATTTTACAGAACTGGGAGAGTTGGAGATCCTCCTGTTTAGAGTTTACAAATGGTCTGTAACAAATTTTTTGTCAGTCTGCAATAATGAGTTAAAATAAAGTTGAAGACATCCCATTTTTAATTCTGAGATTATTCCTTTCCACTTTTTATTTTTTTTGGTCTTAACATCTCCTTTGTTTTATGAAGCGATGCTGCTGGTACATGCTAGTTTTTAACTTGTTTATTTATTTATGTTTTAATGTCCTCACTTGGAAGACTAAAAAGCTAGTAGTTCTGTGCCACACTCAAAATGTCTTTTGAATATATTACTGGTAACTGACATGGAGAGTCTGAGAATAACGATTTTGCCCAGTCCTCTCATTTCTCTGAGGTGAAGCATGAAGATCCACATTCCCAGCCTCATGCAGGGATTAGGGAACACCCCGTGAAGCACCCTGCCAATGGTGGGCACTTCATCTATACCTAGGGAGGTTAGAGGAAATTCCAAGCAAATTCACAAAAACTCCAGCCCCACTGGGTTTTTTTCCAGTTGTTTCTTGAATGTGTTCACTTCCTGGTTTCAGTTCCTGCTTTTACCAGAAAGAGAGATTGAACCCCTTTTTGGGTGTTAGTCCTTTTTGCTATGGGGGAAGAAGTTAGTGATGTGAGCTGCTCTAAATTAAGCTGACCTACGTGTGACCTACTTCTCTTTACAACCTAGTCTAATTCTAGCCGACGGGAGCTAGGTTTCCCCACCAAGTTGGCCAACGTATGACCTGTTAACAGGTGCAGAGAACATTTTCTCTGGTTTATAGAGGAGCACTGATGGTAAATGCACCCTTTCACTCAATCTAGCGCTGAATGATAAGGTCCCACTTAGCCCCTAAGTGCCTGATCCTGAGTTCCAGCATTTCAGGTACTGGGGTCACTGGTCAACCAGCTGAAGCCTCAACCCAGCTCAGCCCCTGAATCTCCTGGAGTTACCAGAGCCTCACTCACTTCTTTCATGAGGTGGCCAGTCCAGGGGAACAACTTCTCCAGATCACTTAGCTGGCTGGTACCCAAATATGGACCAAAGCTCAGCTTCCTGCCCTTAACTCAGAGTTTAGTCTCCAAAGGGCATCAATTTATACCCTGTTTGAGCAATATTATTTGGTAAGGAGGAAAATACCAGTATAAGCCCACAGAGGAAGAACAAATTCTTTCAAATAAAGTAATTAATTATTTTAGTCAAAGATAATTGATGCTGGGACTCAGGATATACACCTGTTAACAAATCATACATTGGCCAACTTGGTGGTAGTGAAAAATAAGTGAACATGATGCCACATATTAGGAGTAACTTTGTTCTGAAAAACTCAGAGGGCTTTCATACCTAGCATTTCATTTATTTTTAATGCCAATCTCCCTCAATTCCCAATTAAAATAGTAGATAATTTCCTTTTCCATCTATTACCTTTATCAGTATCTGAACAAAATATAATTTAGAAAGGGGAGAAAAGTAGACATTAAAAATTAAGGCCAGGTGCAGTGGCTCATGCCTGTAAACCCAGCACTTTGGGAGGCTGAGGCGGGTGGATCATGAGGTCAGGAGTTCGAGACCAGCTTGGCCAATATGGTGAAACCCTGTCTCTACTAAAAATACAAAAATTAGCCAGGCATGATGGCACATGCCTGTAGTCCCAGCTACTCAGGAGGCTGAGGCAGGAGAATCGCTTGAACCCACGAGGCACAGGTTGCAGTGAGCTGAGATTGCACCACCGCACTCCAGCATGGGCAACAGAGGGAGACTCCATCTCAAAAAAAAAAAAAATTTAAAACCACTAGAGGTATCATCACTTGTAACATGTGGCTGTGTTTCCTTTTCTTTTCTTTTTTTTTTTTTCTTTTTTTTGCTGGAGAGAAAGACAAATAGACTGACTAATCGATGGCAAGCTTTTATTTCTTTAGGGTTGATTATCCTCATTTCAGAGACGGGAAAACCAAAGCTCTGAAATGAAATGACATAGACGATCACATTCACTCAACCAAATTGAGATTCTACAGTTAATTAAAAGCCAGGGCAGGAGTATGACCCATGTTAGCCAGGCACTAGTGAGGTAGTCTTACCTGTGATTAAGCTGGAGATGATTAGAGGGAGAATGAGCATTTTTAGCATCCTCATGAGTATATCCCCTGGGAAGGCTATTAACATAACCACATCAGGGTGGATGGGAGATGCCAAGCGAAGAAGCCCTCCACACACTGCTCCCAGGATGACACCTAAAAGGAAGGGGAAAACAATATGAATTTATTTTTTGCCTTCGTCAAATGACTTACTCTAGACACTTATTTCAGCAACATTGACCTTTCTCATGCTTCTGCAGTATTAAATGATGAACAATGTGTAACAAAAACAACATTAGATAAGTGAAGCTGATTTTGATGACTAGCAAGAGAACTTTCTATACCTCCAACTATTCTTAAAAAGTCAGCACCCAAAGAGTCAAGGAGAACTCAAGGCTTTATGAAAGTGCACACTGGCAACTTGACTCCAACTTATTTGAGGCTATTTGTCTACTTGGAGCCAGAAATTGTTTATAGAAATAAACTATAAGGGGCTGGGCACAGTGGCTTGTGCCTATAATCCCAGCACTTTGGGAGGCCGAGGCGAGTGGGTCACCTGAGGTCAGGAGTTCGAGACCAGCCTGGCCAAAATAGTGAAACACCATCTCTACTAAAAATACAAAAATTTAGCTGGGTGTGGTGGCGGAAACCTGTAATCCCAGCTACTTGGGAGACTGAGGCAGGAGAATTGCTTGAACCCAGGAGGCAGAGGTTGCAGTGAGCTGAGATGGTGCCATTGCACTCCAGTGTGAGCAACAGGAGTGAGACTCCATCTCAAAAAAAAAAAAAAAAGAAAGAAAGAAAGAAAGAAAAAGAAAAAAGAAAGAAAGAACCCACAAGGACAGATATTGCCTCCTTGCCCAGCTCAAGCTTGGCCACATGGCATGGCATTTAATGTGTGTCTTCTCATTGTAACTGGAGGCAAGATAAAATGAACATTTAATTGACCAAGCTAGTGTGAATTCTATTTTTTTCTTCCCATCTATTTTCTTTGGCTTCCAATAATTTCCTCATGGCTCACTCTCAAGGCTTGTCCTTGACTTCTATGTCCTTTTACATAGCTTTTAGATTGCTGATCTTATGGGAGCTCAAGAATGGACTCTAAGATATATAATTTTGGAGGAAACAATTTAGGCAGAGATGCTGGCAGGGATCTTTCACTTTACAGACTCAAAGTTCCCAGAAGAAAAATTTTATATCTCTGCAAATGGGTGGCCAACATGAATGACCCTTTCAGAAACCACAAGTTGGGTCATAGTACCACTGGCCATAAGGGAGGGATGGAGTTCCAGGAATGCAGGCTACAGTGTTAATTCCACAGATGAGGAAGGAGTAATGTGGCTGAAAGCCTGATTTTTTTTCTTCTGCAGGTAAAAATCCCACTCTCCAACTTCTTCAAGTCCTGTGATGAATTAGATGTGGTTACATGGCGGGTAACCTTTGGAAAACCTAACCATGCCTGTGGTTTCTTATTAAGTGAACTTAGCTGTGGCGAGCTCCCAGTCCTGATCCTGGGCCACTGGCAACCAAGGCATCTGTCTCAAAGGAAAGGCCATGGAATGGAGGGGTTCAGGTAGGTGTGTGCAGGTGGGTGGGTGGGAAGGACAAGTTGTTCACTGCTTCTCTGTGAAACCTAAGTGAGAGCTGCAGAACAAGGGAGGGATTGAGAAAGGAAATGGTGTGGTTGTCATTACAAGAAACTGTATATTGCCCCATTTTCAATAAACCCTCACGGGAATCTTAAGACCAAGATTGTATCAATAGCCTGAGAACAACCATCGCCTGGGTGAGGCCTGAAGCAGAGGAGGAAGAGGACTTGCAAGATGGAGCTGGAGCAGATCAAGGCATTGGGGCAAACATCTTCCACACTGACCTCATTAGCTAATGTGCCCAAATTACCTAAATTAATGATGTGTCTGAAGAAGCTCAGACCTTGGGAGCCATTTTAGTGGGGTTTTGTGCAATACTTGTGCTTATCTTGATGCAGGCGGTTCTCTAAATGTGGTCCATGGACCAATGCTTTGGAACCACCTAGGTTTGCTAATATGTAGATTGCAGGACCTCATTTCAGGTGGCCCAAAGCAAAGTCTCCATAAGTATAGGAATCCACATGCCAACACTCTCACAAGATATTTATTTGCAAAAAATTTAAGAACTACTAGAATCCAAAGGAGAATGAATGGCTAGAGGAGGTAAGGAGGAAAATTATATCACTGAAGCCTGGGCAGACAGGGCCCTAGGCAAACCACGTGGCTTCCTTTCTGGTGGAAGGGCTGGCTGCTGAGACCAGCTGCCCCACAGAGCCAGGAGAGTCCCAGAGAAGAGGGGGCTGGGGGTGGGGTAGTGCAGGTACCTACCAAACACCGTCAGGGTGAGCAGCAGATTCTTCCCCAGCTTGTCACACAGGCGCAGGCCCAGGTGCCGGTGCTTGGGTTCCTCTGAGCCAAGATGACTGTCGTGCATTCGCACTTCCACCTGCTTGGGCATATTGTTGGCACTGGAACAGAAGTGAAGGCAGAGATTAGAGAGACTGGCACCTCCCCTATACAGTTTCAGGGGCTCGACTAGTAGGAACCTCTCCAGGCACAGTTGGAATCTGGAACCATCTGCAGGAAAATAAAAGTAAGTGTGACTCAGGGTCACCTATAAGCAGGACAGGAGGACACACTGAGAACTGATGTGGATCCTCCCAGTAAAGGAAAGGAACACCGCATGCAATGGTAGGATCTTCCAAAGAGTTGCCCCCCGTGGTAACTTGGGGAAGGAAGTTATCATGTTACAGAGCCTTTACTTGAGTCTTGACCAAAGTTGCAAAGGCTAAAATAGAGATCCAAATCCAGATAGGTCTGGCTCCAAAGCCTGAGCTATTTTCTTCTTGTAACAACAGTAAAAAGGTGACTTTTTCAGGAGAGTCATACTTGAGTTACATCAACATTAAAATATCTCCAAGCTCAAGCCTTCCCCATCCTGACATGTAAACGTCACAAACACTGATCATCCAAGCTTTATTTCTTTTTTGGAAAAGATAGTTTATCTAGTAAAAAAATAATAATAATAATTCAACCTATTGTGGCTTTTAAAAGGCCACCTACATTATCAGGACAGCTAAACTGGCAAGAGCTAATACCACTTAGAGTCCAAGAAGTATGGCTTTAAGAAGTATTTTGATCACCTCCAGCTATGGCTGCAGCCAAGCCCTTTTCTGGGTTAACCTCAGGTAAGCCTAAGCCATCCTGGGAGTCTGCCCAAAGGAGCCCTTGCTGGGGTAATGGGAGTACTTCTCCTTCCTCAGCTTTGTCACTTCCCAGGCCAATAAGATTCCAGATGTAAGCTTGGGGATTGCCATAGGGAGGCCAATTTTTCACTTTGATATCTTAGAACATTTTTTTAGCTGCTATTTACAATCACCATCATTTGATAAAAGAAAAAAAATAAGCCTTTCACACCTAGAAAGAGAGGTGTCTCTGAACAGATGACAGTGCTTTCAAGACAGGGAGGTGTTGCATTATCCAGATAGTCTTGTCATAGACTGGAGAAAACTTCCTTTGGAACCAACACCGAGCTGCAGACCAGTGTTTTGGAATAACTGGTTATAATGGGAATAGTGTGGGTTTTGGAGTCAGAGGGCCTTGACTTCAAATCCTGACTCCAACTCTTGCTAGCTGTGTGGGGTGTAGAAAGAAATGCCTGATGCCTACTTCATAAAAATTAAACAAAAATATGCTAGCATAGTACCTTTCTCCAGTGCACACAAAGAAGAGACATATAACACCCATCAACTTCATGACAAGGATGACATTTTGTTCAGGGGGCTTACCCACTTGCCCTGCCATTCTAGCAAGACACCAAGAACTTAGCTTCCAGACTCAGAGTTAAGACCTGGAACCCAAATACAACTACTTGCTTTTTCATAACAGGCTGCTTAATATACTTGCTACCCAAATGTTTTAAAATTAGGAATAACATTGCATGACCAGATGAGAATGTTAGTCAAAATATAGGCTTCTTAGTCTCCCCTTAATGGCCTAATTTTCTATTCATCTAGTTAATTTCTGAGGCAACTTCTGGTTTCCTGACATATGTGTGCAATAACAATCCCTCAGACCATCTGAAAAAGAAAATAGGGTATGACTGCTCACAGCAGTTGGGTGAGGGCCTTTCTGATCAGTGAGCAACAAATATCACTTCCTCCCCTCGCCAAGTGAAACAGACAGAAAATTCATTTTACAACACAGCAGGGGGAAATGATCAAAATGACCTTTTTAACGTGGATAGACCATATTTCTGTGTTTGCAGTGGGATCTTTTTCCATTTTTAAACATGTCTCCAGCAAGTAATCTGAAGCTCTAAACCAGGAAATGTCAAACAAAGAATGGAGGTAGTATGCGTTCTGAAATGGTGAATGTATTTCCTTAGCCAGCTCTTGGCAAAACTCTCCAGTCCCCTTGAGATCATTAATCTCCTTGCCTTCTGCTTCATTTGAATCCCTCCTGCCATTGAAATGAGAATCAGGCACATGGTTGGTATTCAAGTAAAACTAGGAAGTATTTAAAGCAACCATTCTGGCAAGATCCATATGATGTAATGGAAGCGTCAGGCATCAAAACAGCCATGTCAAAGTGAAAACACACAAACATTAGGTTAGCATACACACCCAACCTGGCAATGTGGTTGGATGCCTGTGCCACACATTTCTTTGTTGTACAAAATTGCTGCCTCTTTAATGGTTTGTTTTTTAGGCCATAACAAAATGTCCCTGAAGCCCTGAATCAAAACAGCCACATCAAAGTGGCTACATCAAAATACTATAAACCCACAAATATTTATTGAGAGAATTCTCGTGAGTTACCCTCTTGGAATTAAACAGATATGGAAGACTTGTAAGAGTTCTTGATGTTTGCACATAGAAAATAATTTTTAAGGTAATTCAGGGACTCAGCTCGCAGCTGGAAACACAGAGTCCCCCAAGAACTCTTTGTAAAAATTCTGACTAATCTAAAAATTCCAACTATTCTAATTAGTCTAACTAATCACTACGTCTCCCAGAACACAAACAGAGACTGACATGGGAACTATCATATAGTATAGCATGATAGAATATTATATAATATACAGCTGCTTCTAAGCCTATATACCTTTAGAATAAGATATAAGTTTTAAAAAATGTGTTCACACAAACAGCTATATAAATGCTGATTGCAAACACACCTGGTAACAGTGACAATAACAGGCATAACTTATATTTATTGAGTGTTCTCTATGTATCAGACACTATACTCAGTAATGGGTATGGTACAATCTTTACTCTTAAAGAGCCTTTACTCAGAGAGGAAACATAAAGCACATTGTACTGTAATTGTCTGCTTTATGTACAGGCCATGAGCAAGCTTGCAAAGGAGTCTATGGGAAATCATAAGAACAATGCCTAACCCAGGTTCAGGGAAGAAGAAGGAATGTTCAAGAAGGGGTCCCAGAAGGGGCCGAGACCTGAGTCAGCTCTTGAAGGATGGATTTAATTTAAATGCCTACATTCTCCACCAGTCTATGAGCCCCAGGAGGGCAAGATTGTGATCTTTAACACCTAGTCCTGAGTGCTTAATCAATGTTTGCCAAGAGAAATTGAGAATTGAAAAGCAGCTCTAAAAGGGCCCCTTGCTTGCCCCTGGGAATAAGGCCCTTCTGCAGACAGACTGGCAGCATGCCACTTCAGTCAGATTTTGACCATTCGTGCATTTATTCCACAAATTTCTAGTGGGCCCATATTACAGGCACCATACTGTTGTTGATGTTAAAGATGTTGCAGTAAACAAAAAGACAGAGCCCTTGATATCATGGAGTGTGCACTTTAGTGAGAGAACAAATGCATGGATAAATACATTTTAAGTAGTGAGAAGTGCTCAGAGGGGGGTTGTATTAGTCCATTCTCACTCTGCTAATAAAGACATACCCGAGACTGTGAAATTTACAAAGGAAAGAGGTTTGACTCACAGTTCAGCATGGCTTGGGAAGCCTCAGGAAACTTACAATCAAATCATGGTGGAAGGGGAAGAGAACGTGTCCTTCTTCACATGGTGGCAGCAAGGAGAAGCGCCAAGCAAAAGGGGGAAAAGCCCCTTATAAAACCACCAGATATTGTGATAACTCACTCACTATCACAAAAACAGCATGAGGGTAACTGCCCCCATGATTCAGTTATCTCCCACGGGGTCCCTTCCACAACACATGGGGATTATGGGAGCTCCAATTCAAGATGAGATTTGGGTGGGAACACAGCCAAACCACATCAAGGGTGGAGGAGAAGGATAGCAGTGTGTGGGGAGGCAGCATGAGTTTGTATCAAGTGTCCAGGGAAGGCGTCTGTGATGAAGGGACATTTGAATAGAAACCTAGAAGAAATGAGGGGTTTCTTCAAGTATTTTATGCAATTTGTCTAGAGCTTAGCAAATAAATGGAACATACACAATTTGGAAATCTGTCTTACTACCAAGATCCTAAAGCTCCCACCCAGATGCACACTCTGGGGTCCACATGTTGATTTTTACATGGATTCAAATGAATATGTAATAAGTCATGCTGGGCCCTGTCACCATCATGAATATTATGAGGGTTTAAATGACTATTTCAGCGCCCCCTAAGAGATATGGTTACCAGGAAGAGGTGAGTTGGATACAGATGGAAAGCCTAAGGTCACAACAGCCAGCAGGTTTGCTCCCATGGCAATGAGCAGAAAGTGCCAAATCTGGTCTGGGAAGTCCACCGGATACACAGTAAGTCACGTCCAGTGGGCACGCTTACCCCTTTACTAATATTCCCTTCCTATGTCCTGTGGCTGTGCACACAGAACAAAGCAATAAAACCCAGGTTGGATTTGGGTCCACCAAATCCCTCGAGGCTAATGCTCTCTGACACTGCCCACCATCTGTGTTTCTGCTTGACTGCCTCCTAAATTGAGGAATATTAGCAATGCAATGCCTTAATGTTGGAAGTTCCAGTGCGCCAACTCAGGCCGATCTCTCAAATGGCCTCCACTGCCTAACAAAGTAAGGCCATGTGATGGGACAGCTGTTGGGATAATTAAAAACTTTTAACAATGAGCCCATAATTTCCTTCAGCCTTAGCCTCTCCATTGAATTATTTAAACAGCTGTTAATATTGCAATCTCTGCCCAGTTCTTTCTCATGCAAATCCACGTGAGTCCTGGTTCAAGGCAAGCTCAGCTTATCGTGCAAATCATCCTCTGTGACTCAGAAGGGAACGTGTAATGGGGCTAACGCTAAGTTTTAAACTATTCTCAGAACCTGCTTTTCATTAGCATTCGATTTCCCTTGCTTTGCCAATAGCCTGTAATAATAGGCTCATTAGATGTGGTGTTGGATTCAGATTTCCTGCTGCACACTTCAGTGTCACCTTAGCTGGCACCAAACTCTTTTTTCCACCTTCACTGATTTGATGAGGTGGCAACAGAACACTCCCCAGGGAGCCTAAAAGCAACTGGTGTGTTTCTCCTGGAGGATGTGAGGTTTGCAATGGGCTTCACCCACCTGTCCTTCCACTGCTGACATCTAACCTCTCCTCCCTGGCCCCAGGCTTCAGGATCTGGAGAGGTACTGGGGAGATAAAGATGTCCAGAGATTGCCCTACTGGAAGACACTAGGTCACCCTAGAATCAAGAACAAAAACAGTGCTCACTGCAGGTCCTCTCCCGTAAGACAGTTGTTGTATTTGGATAAGAATGCTGGAAATACCTGTTGCATCAGCTCGAGCACCAAGAACCAGGAAGCAGAGATTTCAGCTTTGATTGTCCCACATCCAGGGTTTCCCCCAGCTCCTTGAAGAATGCCACCCCTGCTTTAAAAGGGCCTGAAACTCTAAGACTTTCTGGCATTTCCAACAGCCTGCAAATCCCTCCACCCTTCCTAGATCCTGTAAGACCTGCCTTAACTGTGTCAAAGATGTTTACCAACCAAGATGTCAGTCTCTCTCTGACAGATACCGTGTTGTCACAGATCCTGCAAATGAAACTTAAAGGGTGACAGCCTCCAAAGTCTCCTTCAGTCCCTTCTTCTATTCATTGTGTCTTCACAGCGTTCATTTGCTAAATCACAGAATTACTTTCTGGTCCTGCTGGTGAGGCACTCCAGACTTCACAAACCTCTTTTCTATAGCTTCTTCCAGTCCATTCGAGGGGCTGGTTAAAGAATACAGTGTATAGCTATCCTGAATCATGATGGTATTGGGCCAGGATAGGACTGGAAGTCAGGAAGTCTGTGTTCTAATTCCAGGACGGCTGCTAAATGGGTGTGTCAGGGGAAAAGTATGAGGATAAAATGGATATAATGTTACCTTCTGTGATCAACAGACAGTAGGGTAAACTGCTATGAAATGGTAAAAACACGTTCTAATGTAAGATATCAATAAGGTTTAAGTATCAATTTTGGCCCATTTTTATTTTTTAGGTCCCATTCTCTTAATCTATAAAATAAGAGGGTTGAATTGGAAATTCTTTAACATTTAAAATCCTGTGATTCTCTAATTCTCCAGGTAGGGAAAAGGATAGTAGTAGCATTCAGTTCTAGAGATGTGGATTCCATTCTAGGTACCCACGATGGAATAAGCTTAGAGCTGACCATGAAGACAAGTCATTTCATTCGCCATGAGACAGCTCAGTAGCTATACCACAACCCTCACAGGGAAAGGTAGAGATGAGCGACAAACCAACAGCAACAATAACAACAACCATTTCTTGATGTTTTTGTGTTCCTTTTAACCTGTCCTATCTGTTACGGAAGCATGTTTTTCTAGGGCCAATAAAGCTGGGTTGGGATGAAATTCAGTACACAATTCAGACGTGAGCATCTTCTAATTCCTCATCCATCCTTCACCCATTCTCAGGTCTAGATTTCTAACATGGGCAGGTCAATGCCTTGGGAACACAGTCAAACAGGTAAACTGGCATTGGGACCAGCAAAGTGCTAAACTTACCACTAAGTCATTGAGAGACCACCTACATCAGGCACAGTCAATTACTGTGGAACTGGTGAGGTGGCACTCAGAAAAGATAAGATGAGAAATCGAAGGAGAAGAGCCTTTTTTTCCATATTGCTTCCTAAGCACAGTGGCCCAAGCCAGCTAATACAATGAATGGCAGGTATACAGCCAGTGGAGCCTTCAGGTGTCTACACAGAAGCTGCAAAGACAAAGTAGCAGGAGACAAAGTTTTCAAGGGATCAATAAAAGTTGTATTTGTTTGGCTCAGAAACAGATGTTAAAACACCAGCTCTGATGAGTAACTGTCAGAAGACAAGTTGGTGGAATGCAATCACATAATTACATGGCCATTGATTCTTGGTTAAAATGTCTCTTTTCTGGCAGTGGCTGAGACAAGACATTTAGTCATTTGGACAAACCATGCAACTCACTGGGTCATTACAGAGCTCCAGTGAGATGATATCTATGAAAGCACTGATATAGTATCTGATATATAGTAGATACTCAATTTTAATATCCTTTCTTTGCCTGAAATCCCTCATATGATGCAAAATGACCAGTAAGAGAGTTTACTCACTGTTGAGTTTTAGTAAATCTCCTTGCCAATACATTGGTGCTGGTGCTTTTTACAAACAGAAAGTCCCAGAGGGTCCAGAGTGGGTGGGGGCCTGGGAAGGTCCCACTGCCATCAGCCTCCCTATGATGGAATGACTGGATAACCCCTCAAAAGACATCAGGAGTACAACCTTAAGGATATGGCCTCTGGACTTCTGTGAAATCCTTCCCCAGGCAGAGACTTAGCCAGCTTTGACCCAACAAATTTGCTTATTTCCAGATAGACTCATCACCCCAAACAGAAATAAGACACCAAGTAACAATGAGCCTCCAGGGCCCAATGAGAGACTGGGGTGGGGTGTTTGATCATCTCAAATTGGGAACCTCTTCTAAAAATAAAGATTATGCCATGGCCCAGGAACATATTGGCCAGCCTAGTCCCCAAAGGCCTGTCAATTCTGAAGTAATGGCTACCCACCTCTGGTTCATGGAACAAGACGAAAATACATTTGATAACTTCACACAACATCAACAAGCTGAGGAAGATTCATGTGGCATGCACTCTGGGTTTTGAGCCGGGGCAACTTGGCCCCTTTCCAGATGAATAAGCCAGCTTGCCTTGAAGCAAACCATCTCTGCTAGCTAAAACATCCTCTACCCACCCTCCAACCCAGCCTTCTTAGACCAACTTTTATTCCTTCCAAATAACTCAGGAATGACTTCCCTCAGGAAGCCTTTGATGACTCCCAGGTTTGCTTTGTAGATGCAGTTTACCATGTCGCCTGTGCTCTCAAGGCATTTTTCACAGTTTACTTGTATGTTTTCCCCACTAGAACATAAACACTTTGAGGACAAACTGTGTCTTATTTGTCTCTGTCTCCACCATGCCTAGCATCTTCCTGGCACATAGTAGATGCTCAATTAGTTTATGTTGCCTGAAGGAATGAATGAATGGATGATTAGGTTAAAATATGTTCTTGTCACAGGTTCTTTGTGACACTCCATTGTAAGAGGTAGTGGTCCAGAAGGCTAACAAATCTGAGAAGAAGAGAGAAATGAGAGAAGGAATATCAGAAATGGTTTCAAGTGGGGAAGTCACGTCCTGTAAAAAGCAGGCGGGCCAGGTGAAGTGGTTCATGCCTGTAATCCCAGCACTTTGGGAGGCTGAGGCGGGTAGATTGCCTGAGGTCAGGAGTTTCAGACCAGCCTGGCCAACATAGTGAAACCCTGTCTCTACTAAAAATACAAAAAATTAGCTGGGTATGGTGGCAGGCACCTGTAATCCCAGCTACTCGGGAGGCTGAGGCAGAAGAATCACTTGAACCCAGGAGGTGGAGGTTGCAGTGAGCCGGGATCACACCATTGCACTCCAGCCTGGGCAACAAGGGTGAAATTCTATCTCAAAAAAAAAAAAAAAAAAAAAGGAGGGAACACCTGCATTGGGAAAACCAGTGTGTAGCAGAAACGGGCAGCATCACAGCAGGTCTGGTTCTTTTCTGCTGGTGGTTGTGATCCAGCTGCCCTGACCAAGGATGGTGGCCTCAATGCTCCCAGCACTCTTGAGGGAAGATGGAACGAGGAACCACTCTAGGTTCACCCAACAAGGCCTTTGGGGAAACTGATGAGGACCCGGGAAGATGCACTTGTCCGTGAAGGATATCTTAGGACCCAACTACCAAGCATCAACATCTCTAAATTGGACCCTCCAAAATGTGGTCCTTCTGCTAGAAAGCATGAGTACTCATTCCCCTTCCAAGAGCCACTGGAACCCTGAGCTTGAGGTTAAAAGAGCTCAGGATTTGGCCCTCAGGCCTGGGAGTTTCTTCTAGCCTCTGAAGTTTCTCAAACTGAGCCTTTCCAATCAGTCTCCCAGATGGGAGTGACTGGGATGTTGACTAAGAGGTGGTTTAATTAGCTGCAGCGCCTTCAGGCACTAGGCAGAAACTGGGTGAGGTGCTGTATACCTTAGCCAGGACTGGGTCTTTTTATCACACTTTACAACTGCTTTTCTTCAGTGCAGTCTGTCTCTTTTTTCTTCCTTCTAGACTGAGCAGCCAACCAGGCAATGTAGCATCAATCCCAAGCAAGAAGGCAAGTCACTACCATGACCTTGCAAATTGCAAGATTTACCATGGCAGGCATTCAAAACGCCACACAATTCTTTTGTGAGATGATGTTTAAGAGCTTCCTCAAAAGTTCCCTGGAGACCTTCAAAGTCACCCACTTCTGGCTCCCAGAGACCCAAATTTCCTCCTTGAGAGAACTATCCCTTTGGATTCCACCCAAGGACCCAGATTTAAGCCAGAAACTCACGGAAAAAGCAACCCATTCACTGACACCTTAGTATAAAGGAGATTCTCAATCCATCCCCCAAAATAGAATTGTCTGGAGGAACCCCTTAATATAGGTCCTGGACAGAACCATATCTGGAAGCCAGACAAAAGGAGATGTCAAAACATAAATGACGTAAACTTTGCTAACTGCATACCATTGCCAGGATCAGTCTTGAAGTCAACCGTGTTTGAAATTCTGAGGCCTCCACAGCGTTTCTTGAATGCTAGCAATTTTATTCTCCTTTTTTTCCTTTTTAATCCAGATGCTCATTTCACATGAGTGTGCAGTTTGTGGAAATTAATCACACTATTCATGTAAGATTTGTGTGCTTTTTTGTCTGAGTGCTAAACTTGAGCTAAAGTTGAAAAATAGGCAAATTAAATTATGGTGTTAGAAGTAAATACATATAGTATATCTATCTTTGGCCTTAAATGGCTGATTCCCATACTGGTGGATTTCCCAGCAAAAGAACAGGTACTAATTTTGCCCAAAGAACACCTTATACTTTGGGAACATGTAAACATCTCCTTCAGATGAGGCAAAACAGCGGGGCCTTAAGGTAGTCCAGGTTATAACAGAGTGACCTCACTGGCCAAAGAAGAAGTTTGTGGCCTTCATCTTCCTTCTACTCTTCCATGCCCATAACAGCAAAGAACTCTCATACATTTCCTTTCTTGTCTTCCATAACAGGAACCCAAGCAGACTCTTCTCCTTGTGTTCATCTTTCAATCGTAAATAATAACCAACATTTCATCAGTTTAACTTTCTAACAAATAAGCTAATAATAACATTTGTGTCATTTAAAAAGCGTTTTTGCATTCATCAAGAGTTAATGACATCCCGGAGAGGGAAGGATTATTCTATCTTAGAAATGAAAAGACAGAAGCTCCAGAAGATTCTGAAACTTGCCCAAGCTCATGAAGCTTGGAAGTAGCAGAGTTAAACCTGTGCTGTGGTTCTGCAGCAAAGTTAAACCTGTGCTGTCCTTTGCCTTTGAGTCCAGTGTTTTATGGGTATACTCTTTCTTGGGGTATTTACAGAGCAATGGACATGTTAGAACTACCATCTACACCAAGGCACTAGGTAGCTACTTATGAGACTTGCATTCTAGCACATGGAGAGGGAAGATAGAGAGAGGAAGTGCTGCTAAATGAGAGAAAAGGCAAAGTGAGCTCTGGGGAGCTATGGCCTTGTTGTCTGTCTTGGACAATATATGCTGCTGGTGCCATGGCCCCAGATGTACCATCATAAGAAAATGGCATCCACTCAACTGACTCCTCCCTTCAGGCAACGAGGGCACACAGGAACCATCCTATTCCCACTGACTCAGCCAGCACTTGCTGCTGTGAAATAACCTCAAGGGTTCACTCCAACTCTGGTTCTTCACCGGGAAGGACTCCCCCATCAGAGGGACCCTAATGTCTGGTAACTGGTAATAATAAGAATAATGATGGTGACAATAATGATGACAGCAGCTAACATTTACTCAAAACTAACTTCACACCAGGTATTTTTCTAAGTCTTCTTATATATGAACTTATTGATTTCTCACAATAACCTCAGGAGATAGGTACTACTATCAGCAACTTTTACTGAAGGAAAAATGAAGTCATTGAATGGTTAAGTTACTTGCTCAATGTCACAAAAGTAATGGATGGTAGAGCTAGGATTTGATCCCTGTCAGTCCTGGACTTGGAAAAACTGGTCAGCCCACTCTCCCTCCAGCCCGAGAAAACTTGCTCTTTATATTAGGCAATTTCATGCTAGCAATAGACATCGACACTGAACATTTGGCCAAAAGAGTGATTTTGCTGTTGGGGGATGGGAAGGATCCCAGAGAGAAGAAAGTTAACACCTAGTCCAAACCAGAGCCTGATCCAAGAGCTACATACAACAGTCATGGAACCCTAGAATTTCTGGACTAGAGAGTCTTCCTGTCCCCTCTCAGCCTCTGGACAAATGATTATCTGGTCTAGTGGCCCCAACTCTGTCTCTGGATCACTTGTTAAAAATACAGATCTCCAAAACTTATGTCCACACAAAACACTGCACAGGGATATTTATAGCAGCTTTATTTATAATTCCCAAAACTTGGAAGCAACCTAGACATCCTTCAGTGGGCAAATGGATAAACCATGGTACATGCAGACAATGCAATATTATTCAGCACTGAAAAGAAATGAACTATCTATCCAAAAAAAGACATGGAGGAAAAATAAATGCATATTACTAAGTGGGAGAAGCCAATTTGAAAAGGCTACATACTGTATGATTCCAACTATATGACATTCTGGAAAAGGCAAAACTATGGAGGGGCATGGTGCTGAATAGGTGAAGCACGGAGGATTTTTTAAGGCAATGAAAATACTTTGTATGTTACTATAATGGTAAATACACATCATCATACATTTGTCCAAACCCATGAATGTACAACACCAAGAGCCAACCCTAATGTAAACTAAGCACTCTGCATGATAATGAGGTATCAATGTAAGTTCATCGCTTGTGATAAATGTACCACTCTGGTGGGTGATGTTGACAGTTGGGGAGGCTGCACCTGAATGTGAGCAGGGGTATATGGGAACTCTCTGTACTTTCCACTCAATTTTCCTGTAAAACTAAAACTACTCTTTAAAAAACAGCATATTAAATAAAAACAAACAAAACAAAGCACAAAACAGATCTCCAAGCCCCATCCCTGAATATTCCAATTCATCACATCTGGATGGGGCCTAGACCTCTGGGCTTTTGCAAAAGCACCCAGATGACACTGTTGCAGCTAATCCACATACCAATGTCTGGTCAATGCCTGAACAGTTGCAGTGCAGGGCAGCTTATCACTTCTACTCTAACCATCCCGCCGTTGGATAGCTTTGACTATTAAGAAGCCCTTCCTTTATGGTGAGCCTATATCTGTTTCCCTGCAGCTTTTACCCACAGGTTATTTTTCTATCCTGTGGAGCTACCTAATAATAACAGTTGCCATCAGACAATGTACTGGATGCTTTACATGCATTATTTCATTGACTTCCCACAACACTCTCACAAGATAGCTACTATTATTAGTCCTTCTTTATAGATGAAAAACTGGAGGTCAGAGAGAGGAGCACATTTGCTCCAAGTCAGGCAGTTGGTGAGTAGATGAGCTGGGATGGCAACCCAGCTTGGCCTGAACAAGGTGCACACACTTAATCACGACACTTACAGAAAATGAAGCTGAATCCCTTCTCCATCTACCAACCTTTGAGGCATATGAAGTTTCTGCTCAGGGTTTTCTCTTCTCCCAAGTTTGTCACTATCCTGGTTAAAGCACCTCAAGCTACTTACTTGCCTGTGCCTCCCAGACCTGCACACAACCTTCCAGGTAAGGGCTGGTCACTTCCCCACTCCCCTAAGCCCATCAAAGACTGCCTTTCTCACTTTCAACCTCCAGCACGTCAGATTCTACCAGAGCTGAGGCTTCTGCCCTGCCTTTGAAAAACTGAAGGGCATAGGTAATTTCACAGTAGAGAAAGAAGGTGGTAGGGAGTACTGGTAATGAATAGAACCATTTATTGACTTTTTATTCTGTACCAGTGATAGGTAGAGTAATGCCCCAACAAATGTCCATGTCCTAATCCCCAGAACCTGTGGATGTGTCAGATTACATGGCAAAGGGGCTCTAAGGCTGCAGTTGCAAAGAAGGTTGCTAATCAGCTGACCTCAAGATAGGGAGATGCGCCTGAATTCTCCAGGTGGGACCAGTGGAATCACAGGGGTTCTTATGCATGAAAAAGGGAAACAGAAAAGAAAGAACTGAAGGATGGCAGCATGACAAAGACACAGCCCAATGTTGCTGGCTCTAAAGATAAAGGAAAGGGCCAGGAGCCAAGGCATGTGAGAAGCTTCTAGAAACTGGCAAAGGCAAGGAAACAGACTCCTCCTCCGAGCCTCCAGAAAAGAATGCAGCCCTGCTGACACCTTGATTTTAGCCCAGTGAGACCCAACTCAGATTTCTGGCCTCCAGAACTATATGATAATAAGTTGTCTTGTCTTAAGCCTCTTGATTTGTGATCATTTGTTACTGCAACAATGGGAAACTAAGGTAGTACCAGACCTTATGCTACACTATCTCATTTGTTGTTTACAAAAAGCCTCAGCAGAAGGTGATAGACATAGAGAGTTTCCTGTCCACACCCACACCTCTGCTGCTTCTAGAAATCTGCTCAGAGAAGCAGCATGCTCAGCCAGACACTGCTTCTCAGCCTCCCTTCCTGAGATGTAGGCTGAAGTGTTCTGCTCCTCCCTTCCTCACTTCCTCCTGCCCTAGAGAAATGCAGACCAAAGTAACATCTTTCTCTCTTTAGCTAATCACGTGTTTAAAAGGCTCAGCAACACCATGCCTCTAAATGGCTTCCATCGCCCATGGAAGCCTTTCAAGGCCTCCCAGAGGACTTGTGCAGTTCTTTACTTTGGTTCCTTCTAATGAGCTGCTAAATTTGTGGCTATTGAAAGTGAACTAAACATCCAGTCCCTGTTGATCCCAGCAGTCCAGTCAGTTTACTGACTGCCCAACTGCTTCTCAACTAGTTTGATCTGCTAAATTTACAAGTGATAAACTGAGCCATCCAGTCACCCCTGAAGGGTAATGTTCTCACCAGGAGAATTTCTTCTTAAGAGAAGAATGTATATTTATCACTCTGGTAGCTTGTGGAGACAGGCTGGTTCACAGGGCTTTGTGCTGATATGGCACAGTCCACAAGTGCAATACATCCTCTTGCACGATCCATTCTCTTCCCACCTTTTCCATACACAGATGCAGTTCGTGGTGTTTGGGGAATATTTTACTTCGCACATTCGAACCTGAAATCTTAAGTGACTCTTTGATGTTGTCTCTTCGAATAATCTTTTCCTGAGCCCCCAATCTACTTTTCATGCCTCTGAGATCTTAACGTTGCACAATTCATCACATTCATATGGTTTGCCTCTCCCACTAGGCCTTAGACTCTGTGAAGGAAGGGCCATACATCTATCCCTGGGCCCTGTCCATGTTAGGTGTTTAATAAGAATTTTTGAGAGACTAGTGATTTGGAGGTACTAAGGGGACCCAAGTCTGCAGGGACTGGGAGGTGCCTCTGACAGCGAGTGGCAGGACCTTATCAGCTTAAGCATCTCCCATGGAGATGGCTTTGGACAGAAGCCTAAACAAAGCACAAGGAAAGGATCAGGAAACCTGAAGTCCACCAGAAGCTCCAACTAATGTTTAGTGACCTTGCCAAAAGCAACTAGGGCTTCTAATTACCACAAGTGATCATGACTTGAATTTTTATGCACTTCCTGAAGTCATTCCAGCAGCACCACGTCTCCTCAACAGCCTGGAAGTGGTGATGATGTGGTATGTTGGCTACCGGGTCATCAACACCACTTAATTCCTTAGCAACTGAGGTGAAAAGCCTTCATCCCAAGTGCCTTGGAAGAAAGGCTTGTTCCTGCTCAACTCGTAAAGTCTCAAATTTATGCTGAGGATAGTTTCTCGCCGAGTGACTTATCAGGTTGACTCTTAAATTATGACATCAAAGCAAGGAACATGTCCTGTTTTTATTTGAATCCTCTATATAATGACATGTACAATGCCAGGCACCTAATAGGTGTTCAGCAAAAGCTGGTAGATTGAATTATGTATATGACAAAATTAAGACAGAGGGGTCAAATAAGACTTACAGATAAGTCCAGATGAGATCTCTGGACTCAAATATATTCTAGGGCTTTGAGTTAACACAGAAATGGCAGGGTTTTTTTGCCATGGACAATCATGCTTTCTTCCTCCATCCTCCCTCTCCCCATCTGCCCTGAACACACACTCAGCCCATTGTCCTTTATCTGAGAGCAGATTCGACTCCACAGTTCCTTAGGGCAGAAATTGTTTTTGTATTTTATGGGGAGAAAGGGAAGAAGTCTGCAGCACACGCTACCTAGAGAACATGCAATACAATTTCATTATAAGCAAATTTGTTCTTCCTCCCCATACTCTTCAGAGTCTCTCTCCTCTTTCTCTTTTACTTCAGTTCTCGCTCTTAACTTCCTTAGCCCACTGAGCTAAACCTGGTGGATCTTCAAACAACTGCCAACTGTTCCTCAGGTTGGCTCCCTGGAGTGGTCTCATTCCCCATCCGCACACAGCTGATCAAGTATTCACTCTCCGAACAGGTCTCTTTCGCAGCTACTCAAAAAACATAACCTTTGGCAGGGTGCAGTGAGGGGGCACAGTGGCTCACACCTGTAATCCCAGCAATTTGGGAGGCCAAGGTGGGTGGATCATCTGAGGTCAGGAGTTTGAGACCAGCCTTGCCAAAATGGTGAAACCCCATCTCTACTAAAAAAAAATACTAAAATTAGCCAGGTGTGGTGGTGCATGCCTGTAATCCCAGCTACTGGGGAGGCTGACGCAGGAGAATCACTTGAACCTGGGAGGCGGAGGCAGCAGTGAGCTAAGATGGCACCACTGCTGTCCAGCCTGGGTGACAGAATGAGACTCTGCCTCAGGAAAAAAAAAAAAAGCAAAAACCATAAACAGAAACAAAAAGAAAACATAACTTTTACCTATATTGTTATACCAAAATTAACAGATGTCACAGAATTTATTCACCTTAAGATAAGGATTCCTTTTCTTTATTGCTAAGCTAAATAAGCAGTAACTTTAACAATGTTAATGACGAAGAGTTGGAAATTTATTCTAAAACCCTTTAATTTATAGTAAGATATTGTTAATCATGTAAGTTTTTCTTTCTCTTTTTTTTTCCCCTTGAGACAGTGTCTTGCTCTGTTGCCCAAGCTGGAGTGCAGAGGCACGATCTCAGCTCACTATAACCTCTGCCTCCCAGGTTCAAGCAATTCTCATGCCTCAGCCTCCCGAGTAGCTGGGATGACAGGCATGCACCACCATGCCAGCTAATTTTTTTTTTTTTTTTTTTTTTTGTATTTTTAGTAGAGACGGGGTTTTGCCATGTTGGCCAGGCTGATCTTGAACTCCTGGCCTCAAGTAATCTACCTGCCTTGGCCTCCAAAAGTGCTGGGATTACAGGTGCAAGCCACTGCTCATTTAAGTTTTTCTTAAGTAAACTTCAATGCACTTTGTTTCAGTATTATTATTGAAAGTTACTAAAGGGTTTTGTCCACTTATAATTATGAAACCTAGATCCCTGAGTGGCAACAATCAGATAGAACTAAGAAGTGATTGTCCCTTAGATAGGCATGGATTTTCCAGTCTGCCACAGTCCCCACCATCCCTTATTGTCTCCTTGACACCAATGCGAAGTGTCAATTACTATTTATCATCAGGCTTCCATTGCTGTCTTTCTGAAGAGAGTGTTAAGAGGAAAGCAAACTGTTTCCTGATTTCATGTGCATACCTGCCTGGCTCTCATTAAGTTAGCAGCCCCTGTCCCTTTTGGTTCCATCATTGTACAGATGGGAGCTTTCTTCATATGCTTAAGTAAAATCTTCAAAAAAGGAATGAAAATTTATTCACCAGGCTACAAGCAGGTAGGGAGTGATTTAACAGAGCGAATCACGTTGTTGTTACTAAAGATGTCACATAATTTACAACTTTGAGCAAAGGTTCCCAGGGGACAGGTGTGAAAACAAAAGCAAGTGATGCGTCATCTCACCTTCCTGAGAGCAGGCAGAGGCAGTGCTTTAAGAATCATTGATGACTGACTAGCAGGTTACAGCGGGTGGAGGAGGGCTTCACTATCTTCTCTGCATGGCCCCTTATTATCAGTAGCCCCAAGATTAGAACTCTCTAGAGCAATGACTAGAGAGCAATGCTCAAATGCTGAGACATGACTTCAGCCTTTTCTTTACCAGTCTACTTTGGGGGGCAGGATGTGAAGATTTGGTGAGTTGGACTCACAGCTTGTAGAGTCTGGCTGGAGAGCAATTTTGTTTTGTTTTGTTTTGTTTTGTTTTGTTTTGTTTTGTTTTGTTTTGTTTTGTTTTGCAACATCCCTTAAGACAGACATTTTGTACAATATGAGAAGTGACTGTTAGTCATTTTACAGATGAGAAAGCAAAGTTAAGTAACTTTTCCATTGTCGGGTAGCTAGGAGTAGACAGCTGGGAATCACACCTTGGTCTGTCTTCATCCAAACCCAACCCCTTTTCATTACAATATGGCAGCTGAAAGAACCTGATACTTTAAGATGAGAATAACATTCTTCAATATTTCTTTATTTACAGCATCATAGACATAGCCTTCAATTGTCCAAAGTAGTTAAGAGTGTATGCATTGATGGGGGGGAAGTGTGTGTATTGTTGTGTATTGTTGTATTTTGCCACTCTCAAGCAAACTTCTCCTCCAGTCTCATCAACATACCCAACCTCAACCTCATAGCTGCTAATTCTTCACAAATACCCATAAAACCTATCTATTGAAAGCTATATTTCCCCCAAGATATTGGCCATATAGGCAGCTTCAGGCCAAGTTCTTTCAAACTTCAGCCATAGCAACCGCAATTGCACAACCAAGGGCAGCTGTGATGAAGTCACGGGGAACAAATTAGCAGAGGTCCCAGTACTCCTCTGGCCTGTAATCACTCATCACCTCAGACTGTGTTGATGATCCAGACCCTGGGCATGCCATTTAGCTGAACTCTATAGCTGAAGGAAATGCTCAGGAAAGGATTTTTAATTTGAGATTTTCCTTTGAATAATGTGAGGCTTCATTTTTTGGAGAAAGGAAGACAGTCTATCATGAGTTACTACCAGGGTCTTCACAACAATGCCAAGCAAAATCTGATCCAGTCTCACCCAAGTCAGTGGCTCATATCTACAATCCCAGCACTTTGGGCGGCCAAGGCAGGTGGATCACTTGAGGCCAGGAGTTCAAGACCAACCTGAGCAACATGGTGAAACCCTGTCTCTACCAAAAACAAAAATTAGGTAGTCTCATAAGCCAGTCTCAAAAAAATTAAGTAAATAAAATTTTTAAAAAATTAAATTAAAAAATGTTGTTAAAAATCTGATCCAGTCTCTTCAGACATCCTCCCACAGAAGATGCTGAAAAAAGGTTTCTTATATGGTACAAATACACAATGGAATACTATGCAGCCATAAAAAGGAATAAGATCATCTCCTTCAGAGGGACATGAATTGAGCTGGAAGCCATTATCCTCATCAAACTAATACAGGAACAGAAAACCAAACACCACATGTTTTCACTTATAAGTAGGAGCTGAACAATGAGAACACATGGACACAGGGAGGGGAACAACACACACTGGGCCTCTCAGGGGGTGGGGTGGGTGGGGGTAGAGCATTAGGAAAAATAGCTAATGCATGCTGGGCTTAATACTTAGGTGATGGGTTGATAAGTGCAACAAACCGCTATGGCACAGGTTTACCTATGTAACAAACCTGCACATCCTGCACATGTACCCCACAACTAAAATTAAAATTAAAATTAAAAAGAGAAGGAAAAAAGGTTTCTTGATGATCTCTATCTAGAACCCTTTGAAGGTGACCCAATCAGCTCATTAATTGTTTGCTCTTGAATACTTGCTTTCACCCAATGGGCTTTGATATTAATAACAGTATTGATTATACTCTCAACATTTATGGAACATACTAGCTCTGAGATAAGTGGTTTCCTTTGTTTGATCCTCACAACAACAATTCTATAAGCAAGTAGGAGGAAGGAACAAACAGATAGAGTGCTATTATTATCCTCATTTTATAGACAAGGAACTAAGGCCACCAATGTGCCTAAAATGACCTAGTAAGCATCAGAATCACATAGCTAAACCTACATTGGCCCAAATCCAAGACTTTAGTTTGTAGGACTATGCTCAAGTAACTAGGCAGCCAATTCAAATACTCCATCCTCCAATTTTATATTTATAAATTACAAGCACTCACAGCCGGGGTCAGCAACTCATGGCTTTCCATATGGCCCATGAAGCCTAAAATATTTACTCTTTAGCCCTTTACAGAAAAATGTTTTCTGACCCTTGGCCTAGAACAGTAAACCAAATCCCAAATTTTCCATTCAGTGTACTGAGGTCTCTGTAGTACTTGGGACCAGCAGATTCCACAACATTTTTTAACTCAAGAAAAATATTTATTTGCATTGATTTATGTAAATGACCCTGAGTGATGAAAGTTGGAAATAAATTTGGGGAAAAAAAGAGCTAAAGAGTTGTGGTTGTAAAATATCCACCTCCTAAACTACTGCAGAGCTGCTGGTTAACCAAAATCCAGGGAGGGTTTTGCCAGAATCATGAAGAATTTTATGAATGGGTCTACACTGAGTACAGAGAAAAGTGCCCACAGGCCTCTCTGTATCCATGTTGATGGGGGATTAAAGAAGACTCCTCCTACCAACATCCAGCCAAACAGAAGACTAGCTGTTTAAATGGCTGCCAGCATGCTAAGCGAATAGAAATAGTGACAAAGAGGGTAGTCAGAAAGGCAGTGAGTAACTATTCATTGTTTTCAAACGTGGCGAGAGGTGTTTGGTAATCTTTGTGTAAAACAGACATCTGAGTCATCTCAGCAGCAGGGAGTTCTCATGAGTCATATAACACATGCTAGTCACAAATCAGGTCTTTCCACCAGTTCAGGAATATTACCAACAGTATCACCACACTACTCAGTATGGATCCAAAACTCAAGGAATATCTATCTAACTACACCTGCATGTTCAAATGTACTAGATGTACCATGGTATAACAGGTGTACCATGGGTGTACCAGTAGGTGTAAACAGACTCTACCTATAGGGTAGAGTCCTTTAAGGTTGCAGAAGAAACAGCTGCAAACTCCAAAACTGCCCCAGCTTGCTGTGTGAACTTGTGCATGTGCTGCCTCTTATCTGAGCCTAAGACTCATCTATAAAATGAGATGTTTGAGTTGGATGCCTCTCCCCTGCCTTCCAGCTCTATGAGTATGTGGAGGGGAAGCTCCACCAACAGTTTAGAAACAGTCCTGGAATACACTGCTGACTTATGACTCATAATTCATCATATCTCATTATCTAATTAGTATTATAATTACCATCAACATTATCATTGTTATTATCCTTAGTATAGCATAAATAATAACAATATAATAATAACTAGCATTTCTTAAGTGCTTTGCATGTGCCAGATCTTATTTGTTCAGGTCTCTAGAATATGTGGGACAAGAAGATTGTAGTATCTGCATAGATCAGGAGTTGGCAAACTACAGCCATGGGCCAAATCCAGTCAACAGCCCATTTTTATAAACAAGGTTTTATTAGAACACAGCGAAGCCTATTGTTTACCTATTGTCTACGGTTACTTTTGCACTCCAAGAGCAGAGTTGAGTAATTGCAACAGAAACCCTAAAATATTTATCTGACCCTTTACAGAAAACACTTGTTGACCCCCTTCTTTTAGACCCTACATAACAAATCTGTTGTTTTTTGCCTCCCTAGTGTCTGCTTGCTACTCTTTTGGTTCTATCCTCTCGACTTCTCAGGGCAATTCCCCTTCTAACTCCCGTCCCTATGGTTTGGATGGAACTGACCCATGCCCATCTCAGGACTGGTGAATCAGGATACTCTATCCTCATAACCACATAGATTTGTGGGTGATCATGTGGACCAAGTTGGTCCAGTGAGATATAGTCCTAAGACTTTGGCTAGAAAAAGTGGGAAGGAGGAGCTCTTCTTTGCTGAGGTTTCTTAGCTGCTAGGATGTGTCCAGAGCTGCCGGGAGCTTATAAGGGAATGACCTGCCTTTGTTTGAGGACAAGGAGATATGGAAAGAGAATCAGTCCTAATAATAAGATTTTAGCTCCTAGATCCAGATACACCTAAAGTTATCTCTAGACTCTTTGGTTAACAAGCTGATATATTCTCTAGTTCACTTAAGTCAGACTAAGGTAGGCTTCCCTCACTTGCAACTAAAACAAAACAGTCCTTTGAAATAGACACAATTACTTTACCCACTAAGATACACCTGATCAAGATCACATAACCAGTAAGTGGCAGAGGCTAGGACCCAGGTCTCCACTGAGCTTTTCAAGATGAAGGGGTCAGCATCTAGAGCTCTCTAGAAGATCTGGCTAGAAGCAGGGACACAACCAACGGGTGATTTTCCTGTCTTTGAATTGCTCTCTAAAGGGCAATTCTTTGGGGGATCATCTTGTTTTCTACTTATGACTGTCCCATGGCAAGACCCAGTAGAGTACTGGCTTCTCATGCAGTAATTTGGGGCAAGTTATGACAAAGAGTGATGTCATAGCCATTTGTCAGCTCTTCATTCTTGCCATTTAACTGGGAAAAATTTTTGCTGGGGAGAAACTTGACCTCCCTCTGTTGGGATATTTAGTCATTCAGCAAGAAACATGGAATCAGGGAATCTCAATGCGGTGAACAAGATTGTGGGTCAGGGCCCTTCTGTGTCAAGGAGTCAGTCAGGACAGATTTTGCTGAAGAAGAGATTTCATAAAATCAAACCTAACTGGAACTATCCGTTCCACAGGGCATCTTCTTATACTCTGCTTTGAAGGGGACAGACTCCAGAAGGAAACATGCAGTGCAGGGTATGGAAACAGAATCTCTCAGGGAGATGTTTGGTTAGTGTGTGGCTCAATGTTACACCTTTACCAGCTGGAGGACCTTATCATGAGGACTGGGTTTCAGATAGGGATCCTGGTGACTCACAGGACCCTCTGTCAGGGGTCCACTGGTCTCAACACACCACATCAAATGAGAGAATGGATTCAAGCATTTTTTAATGATTTTCAACCATGAGAGTTGAGCATAAGTTGGATGGGCAGATGGATGGATGGAGGGATGGATATTGGACACACAGAAGATTGATAAGCACAAATATATACATGTATAATTGTATATATAGAGATTACAAGTAATATTTCTGGAAAGATCACAGAATATTGCTGAGAGTAGCAGCTTCTAGGGAGAACTGAGAAAATGGGTATCTCAAATGAGAGGGTGACTCACAGATCACTGTATTCTCCTTAGCTCTGTTTAAATGTTTTCCTATGTGCATTTATTGCTTTTTCAATGTTAGGATTAAAAATAAGAGGGAATTATCAAAAATATATTTAACGACAAAGCCCTCTTGGCTTCATCCCTCAATGACCCTAAAATTTAAATGACCAAAACCCCATTTCCTCAGGCTTTCTTGTTAAGCTTTTTTCCTTGAGGCTTTGTAATACCAGCCATGCAGACACACTGACATGAGCTCTCTGCTCACGTGTCACTTCTCTGAGCAGAGAGAAGAAGCAACGGGACCCAGCTCATGTCAGGAAAAGATGTTACATGAGACCTGTTCCTTTGGTGTCTGCCCCAACTCAGTGCCAAGCCAGAGGTAAAGGGCAAAGGGTGATAGGAAGGAGTCCAAAATACAGGCCACAAAGGCCTCTAGTCCATCTGGGCACTGCTGGAGCCAGGGCAGGGCAACGCTGGCACAGAGATAAAAGGGCTGTCCACAGTCTGGCCTCTAAGGGACTTGAAGTCCATGGAATGATCTGAGCTCCCTATCTGCTTTAGTATAGTCAGTGGACAATGTCTATCACTTCAAAAGAATAGGACATGAAACAGAGCTGTCCTGCACAATTCTGAATCACACACATATTCTGTAGGAAGAACCTGTGTCTGGCTTTAAAGCCTACTTCTACCCCTTTCTAGCTGTATGATCCTCAGCCACTCACTTTAGTCCCTGAGAGCTTCAGTTTCCTTGTCCATACAAAGGAAAAAGATTGTAGCGTAAATTAGATGGGATCACTTCCATTAAGTGCCAACTACAAAGAAGCAATCAGTATTGGCCTGGTTCCCCCCTCCCCTTTGGCATCTCAGAAGTAAAGGGAATGCTTTTTTAAAGAATTTATTGATTGAAAGAGACAACAGAAAACTAAATGAACTTTCTTAGAAAACTGTGCAGACACTGAAGTGAGACCCAGCTTCTCTGGACTCTTATGTAACAAGTTACATAAGGGTCATCTTATTCCCCCAGTGTGCCCCCTGGGATTATGGTGTGGAGGCTAAGGTCAAAAGGAAATTATGTAAGCATAATCCTGAGAAATTGACAAACAAAGCAGTGACCAGTTCAAGGAGCAAACCAGCAGTATGTTACTGTGAATCTCCCAGACGCCAGGAACTTACATAAAACACAGATTGAGTACATTTGGTTGACAGCGGGGAAGGGACTTGTCAAAATATTTTTTAAATGGTATATCAATATGCCAAACTATCTGAATAGAGGCTGGAACTGCATTAGAGCAGCCTCTGGAAGGTTCAGGTTCGCCCCGAAGTGCTACATATTAACCTCTTAATTGTTGCCTCCTAGGGAGGTCCCAGGCCGGAGAGGTAGAGGGGAGAAGTGGGGGTAACGAGACTTAAGATCGAGGAAAGTGAACTTGGGTTGGCGCACCTTACCAACAAGTATTTAAGTATTTACTACCTACCAATACTAATAAATGAAGGCATATTTTAACTACCAGCTGCATAGCAACCCTGGAGAAGAAGCATTTCTGAAATAGTCGTATTCACGAAAATGTTTAAAACCCTGTTAAAAACCTAATAAGGTGTGTGATGTTCCGCTTCCTAAAGTATAATTTAAAAATATTTTTTTAAAAAAACCTAATAAGGTATAGAACATCACAAGCAGCATGCAAAAAACACTCTCAACTACCTTAGCAATCAGGGCAGAGTAAGTGAAAACACCAATTTTTGCCATCAAATTGACAAAACATCTTTAAAAAGTTGACAACATCTGTGATTGCCAAGGACAGGTAAATTTAACATGGGAGTCCAAACCGGTATTGGGTGTTGGGGGTAAGTTTGGTAGTTTCTATCAAAATTTAAGATATGTAATACCTTTTCACATCCCAAAATGTTTTTCTTAACATCTGTCTTGAGAAATGTGGATGTATGTTCACAAAGATGTCGATTCTTTGCAGAATTGTTTATAAAAGTAAAAAACTGAGTAATAACCTAAATGTCATCAATAGAGGAGTGCTTAATAAATTCTGATATATTTTGATGCAATGAAAGTGTATGGACCTGTTAAAAAGAAGGATGCATTGCTATATGAACTGATATGGAAAAATATCTAAGATGTATTTAAGAAGTTGAAAATTGCATATGCATGTGTATATTTATAATGTTTGGAAAGAAATTCTGGAAAGAAAAGTTAAAAAATGATAGGCAAGGATTACCTCTGGGAATGGATGAGGGTTTTGCAGACAGGTGTGTAAATGGAGATTCTTATATATTTTTGTAGGGTTTTTGCTAGGCTTTTACGTTTAAAATAATGCATATAAATGTATCATGCTGTACAATTAAAACTACTTTTAAGAAATGGTGAATCAGCCATCTAAGATGTTTGGAAGAAGACAGCATTTGTTTTAACAAGAAAAATATTAACTTTTAAAAGATGAGTCTAAGAAGCTGTCATTTATAAAGGAAGTTATCCAGGATGTACTAAGCTCTGTGTGAAGATTTACCTCCAAGCTCACCCGATGCAGATACCGACAAAAAGTAACTTTCTGCCCAAAATGAGTCTGAGGTTTATGCTTGAAAATCAAAGCAGTTTGTCTAGAAGAGACCAGAGTTTATTTCTCTCAGATGTAATGTACCTCTCAAATGAGTGTTTTTTTTGTTGTTGTTGTTGTTGTTTGTTGTTTGTTTTTTTTGCCTTGGTTCAAAAGGAGCCACAGCATAATAATTTCTAGTGGGGTAACTTTTGCTGCCTCATGTAAGATTAGAGAACAATGGCTAGGTGTGGTGGCTCATGCCTGTAATCCCAGCACTTTGGGAAGCCGAGGTGGAAGGATCGCTTGAGCCCTGGAGGTTGAGGCTGCAGTGACCAGTGATCACTCCCCTGCACTCCAGCCTGGGCGCGACAGAGTGAGACCTTGTCTCAAAAAAATAAAATTAAAAAAATAAAATGAAATTTTATAAGATTAGAGAAGAATGCAGCATCTCTTTTCTGAACTTTAACCCTACACATTCAGTAGCAGACGCAATTATATCCCATTCACACTCAAGTTCATGTGTCAGAAAATACTAGCCCCAAGTTGGTCTTGACCACCTATATTCAACTACTAGGACATCTTTTCCAGAATGGAACACTAATGGTTCTAGAGTGGAACTGGAGTTTGCAAGAGGGACTTCTATCACTATCCTGCTCTGATACATCGTGAGGCTTCAGACAAGTCACAAAAACCACACTGGTGTGTCAGTAGTGAGACAGGAATAATACAGGGTGGTTGCAGGAGAATAGAAGCAGTTTCACAAAACTAGCAAAAAGGAAACTGTTGAATTAGCAGCATAGGCTAGGGGCTGATAAAAGACCCTGAAAAACAGGATGTGGGACAAGCTGGCTAGGACCGACTGGACCCAACATAGCACTGGATTTGACCTAGGTTTCACCTAGGACCTCATTATACACTCATTAACATACCAAATCACACACCCACCAGCACCATGACAGTTCCGAAACAACCATATTTGGTGTAAAAATGGGTGGCACCACAGTTCTGAGAAATCTTCACCTTTTTCCAGGAACCTTCATGAATATTCCACTCCTTGGTTAAAGAAACTCGTAAAGTTAGAAGCCGCAAACCCCACTGGGCATGACTTTCTTGAGTACACACACACTCCCCTTTCTTGAGTGTATACTTTTCACTTGCAATAACTCTCCATACTTTCACTATTTTCCTGACTAGTCCTTGAATTCCTTCTGGCTCTGGTGTCAAGAGCCTGGACACCAACCAGGATGGAGGTCCCCTGGGAATTTGGGGACCTACCCTAGCACATCAGTAGCAGTAGTATTAGCATCCCCATTTTCAAATGGAGATAACCTATTATCTGTGCACCAGAATAATAATAATAATAATAGTATCTGTGCACCAGGATGTGCACAGACACACACACAGAGGCACACACACACATTTTTACACAGACACACACAGGCACACACACACACACACAGATCTGGTGTATTCGAAAAACAGAAATTAATAATGATGTACAAGCATTGTGAAATCCCTTGAAAACTTCTGCCTAAACATCTATTACAATGTCAGGTGATCATTTCATAGCAGATGAAATGTCTGGAACCCAAGACACATGGCTGAGAAGTGGCCCCACTGAGAACTCAGATCCTTTTTTACCCATCATTAAAACTTTTTTTTTTTACAGGTGAGACCTAAGTATAATCAAAGTTATTAATTTGTTCATGCATTTACCCATTCAACAGACATTTGCTGAGCATCTTCTCTGGGCTTGGCATTGTTCTATATGCTACAGATACAGCAGTGAATACCATAGAGGCTTACATACTGAAAGAGGGAGGTAATAACAAACAATGTCATATGGAATAAGCACTGTAAAGAACAATGAAGCAATGTACTGTTGAGCGGGATATTTAATATAAGGTGGTCAGGAGGTGACATTTAACCAGTGACTTGAAGAAAGTTACAGTGACCATGTGGATCTTGGGGAAAAGTATTCTGAGAAGGAACAGCAAGTGCAAAGGCCTGAGGCAGAAGCAAGCTTGGTATATGCTACAAATAGTAGCAAGCTCTCACTACACAGTGCACAGGTCAAATTCTGTGAGTGCATGCTTGATGGGATTATGGAACTCTCCCCCTGAAAATGCACATACAGACAAACTTTCCTTACAATTTCAGACCCCGGAAGACCTTTACCCACAGCCCCTAGTTAAGATCCTTTGTTCTACTCCAACCAGTTGTTGCTTCTGACATGGCTCTGTGATTCCAAAAGGCTGAGTCCTGGCTGCCATCCCTCACATGGTGAAAGACAAAAAGAAGGCCAACCTCCCTCTTCAGACAATGTGCTTGTTCTGAATTTCAAAAAGAATGGGAGACCCTTCCTGCTTTCTCAGCTTCAAGGACTAGGAAACTATCTTCGAGCAATAAAAAGCACAATCTTCGGCCTGCTCACTCACCCTCTCTGTAACAGGAAGGGCTTCTGGAGCCCTGAGCACCTGGATTGGATCAAATTCCATCCACTCTGATTTGGAAGTGAGCTAGAGGAGCTTTTAATCTCCAGAAGGTAGTAAGAGAATTGGACCAACCAATTAGGCTTAGCAGCTCTGATTCAAACAGTGAGCACGTAACTGAGAAATATTTTTGGTTTGTCTCTAAGTGGAGTTTTGAATGCCCCAAGAGTAAAAAAAAATAGTCCTTTTAAAAATAATAAACAAGCCGATTTAAGCAGCATGCTGAACCCAAGCAATCCAGTCCATGATGCTTGGCCTGTTTCATGCCAGTATCACATATGCCGCCAAAGGACTCGCAGTGCTAAGACCATCACACCTCATAACTCTTGCTAAATACCAGGGTTCCAATTACAGCTCCACTGTAAAACACTTCATAAAACGTGCAGACCTTGCTCCTGCTTTTGCAAACCCAGCCTTGTCTTCCCTCCTTTCTCTCCTGGGTTCTGCAAATGGCCTTCCAGCTTTCAGAACCTTCTGCTGAGTTCTGAGGAAACTGAGGTCACTTGCCTGTGATTGCACTGTCTGAAGATCACATCCTCTTTGCAGAGGAAGTGCTGGGTGATTTCACTCCCTGTTCCATGTGCAAGGCTCACTGGGCGCCAATAATTGCACCATTCAGAAAGGTCAGCACCGCCACTGTGAGCATCTGACTGTTGGGACTGGAGGGGGACCAGTGATGGGGACAGGCAGAAGACGGGGAGCTGAAGGTTACCTCCCCACACCAATCACACCATGAAATACCCACACAGCACCTGGGGCAGAGGTTACCAGAGTTAACTATAACCCCTTCACCAACCAGACTCTTTCCCTGTCTCTTAAAAAAAGGTAAAGAAATAGTTTTACAATATATTTTCCAGATGAGCTAAATAATATACATTTTGTCTACAGAAAAATACAATGATGAATATGAAAATCACCAGTAAATCCCACTGCCAGGAAAATCTAAGTAATAGCCAATGCTTGTACCAATAATTATTTTAAATGTTTTATATTCATTTTAACTCATTTTCTTAGTTAAACCTCACAACCTCTCTATAAAGTTGACATTGTTTTAAGACCCATTTTGCAGGTGAGAACACCAAGTCACAGAGAAATTAAGTAACTTGCTCAAGGTCTCACAATCATTAAGCATAAGAGCTGCAACAATTAAAACGCAGACCCATGTTCTTTTTTTTTTTCTTTATACTTTAAGTTCTGGCATCCATGTGCAGAACGTGTAGGTCTGTTACATAGGTATGCATGTGCCATGGTGGTTTGCTGCACCCATCAACCCATCATCTACATTAGGTATTTCTCCTAATGCTATCCCTCCCCTAGACCCATGTTCTTAATGCATCTTAGCCATGGCTGCTTTCCATTTGAGGCATCCATTTCCATCCCACCTCCTGCTGTTCTGGGGTCAAGCATAGAGCAGGGACTTCTTCCTCCCTTAGTCTCCATGGGCTACTCCTTCCCCTGCCAGCTCTGCAACCCTTTATGAGCCTCCCCAAGAATCACACACTCAAAAGAGCCACCAGCAAACCAGACAGGGAAAGAAGCTGCCTTTCACTCAACTCGGGATGTGCTGAGCATCTGGCATACCCAGGGGATTGAGGGGATACAGTGACTGGGACTCAGCTCTGGACCACAAGGCATTCGATCTAATGGCAGAGACATGACCTATAAACAAGAGTAACTAATGACAGAAATGTAAACAGACTGTAGGCTCTTTGAGGGCAGGTTCACGTCATATACGCCAGGGACTTAGAGGAGGCAGTCAATAACTGTTTGTTGAGTGACTCAAAGCGTAAGCTAGTAAGATCCTCTGCTCATGGCACTTATTATCCTCTGAAATCATAAAGAAGTCAGAAAGGGCTTTCTCAGTGAAATGACAGTGAAGCGGAGACTCATAGGATGGATATGACAGACCAAACAGAGAAGAGGGGCAGGGCAGGGGCATGTGCCAAGGCATGGGAGCAGGACTCCCCATGGGTACCCCACATCTTGGACACAGGATGGAAGAAGACCTCGTGCTCACAGCAGTAGTTCTGTAGGCAAGGAGCTGGGACTGGAAAGGGGACTGGAAAGATAAATAGGGTCAGATGGTGGAAGTGCTTCAGTGCCAAAGGGAGGAGTTTAGACTTTGGAAAAAGACATCTCTGAAGATACAGATTTGACAGTTAACTACTTTAAAAAGCTAGAAAAAGCTGAGGGAAGAAATTAGCTCTCCAACTGAGAAAACAGACAAGAAAAAAGAGTTTGGGAGGGATAAGAGTTTAACCCTGCAAAACAGCCACTTCTGAGGGGTATGAGGAGGAAGAGGAGTCCACAAAAGTCAGACAGAAAGGAGCCATGAGAGCGAGAAGAAGTGCGAAGGAGCAATGGTCAGGGCTTCTGCAATAGCGGTGTTACTTTTGGACACTCCCATGAATGGAGTCTCCTAGTCTGCTCTGGACAGACATGGTAATTCAATATACTTGCTGTTTTGAACCCCTGCTCCCCACTTCCAGTGGCATTTGGACCACTTTAAAGACCAGAAAAAGGATCACAAGCAGATTTCATCTCATGGGCAAAGTCCAAATCACTGATAGTGGCTGCTGGAGCAATGTTTTCAGAAGGATTCCAAGGCTGAATCTTCACTTAAATCCAGATTCAAAGTGAATGAGTTCTATGATTAATTAGCAGTATCTGCCGTGGACACAAAATTAAGAAGTGGACATATGCATGCCCGTATTTGCCTTCCTTGCTTTCAATAGTTTGCATTCATTTCATTTCTTAGAGATGAGCTTATTTAGAGCAGCAGTTGTATTTACCTCGGTGCCAGGCCCTGAGCCAGGCAGGCACTGGGAAAACAGAGATCATTGTGCTCAGCAATTTTTTAAAATACAGATGAAGTCTTGCCATGTTGCCCAGGCTGGTCTCAAACTCCTGGCCTCAAGCAATCCTCCTGCCTTGGCCTCCAAAAGAGCTGAGTTTACAGGTGTGAGCCACCACACTCAGCCACAAATGTTTGTTAAATGAATACATTTGTTCCTAAGAAAAATGAGGACAAAGAAGCTGGTTGTTGTGAGCTTCAGGAATTCAGAAGTGGCAGAAGGGACCTCTTCCTCTGAAGCTAGCTTCCCATTTTGGCCTTGCCTGAGGCCAAGCTCCATGTGACAAGTCTGGGCGGCACCTGGGTTGAATTCAGGCCTTTCTTATTCATGGAAAGTGCCCAGCCCACAGACACTATCCCCTCATTGCTCTGCAGGAGGAATTGTTACTAATGCAGCTAAAGGATTCTAGAATTCATAAGCAGAGCCTCCCCAGGAACAGGCCTGTCAACTGGTGCAATGGCCAAAGCAGTCCTGGGCCATCTGTTTTTAATAAGAGACATGTGGAATGCAAGAGCCAGAGGCATGCTTGGCTTGGCCTCCCCTGGAGTTGGTGAAAAAACTGTCTAAAATTGAAGCAGGCCAATGGACACACATTTCTAAGGGTCTCACCTCAATTATTTATTGATGAGCAAACCTAATAATTCCTCTTTGTTTCTCAACCCTCAATAGGGTGCTCGCATGTAGCAGATACTCAATAAATGAAGAAGAAATATTAAATTTAAAGAACTCCTGACATAGATGGGAGGAAAGCAAACAGGTGAGAAGTCATGTCCAAGAGGTAAACAATGCCCTAAGCAGAGGGGAGGAAGCACATGACCAGCTGATGTAGGCACACATCAGCACTACTAGAATTAAGAAGACAGAGGCCAGGCATGGTGGCTCATCCTGTAATCCCAGCACTTTGGGAGGCTGAGGCGGATAGATCACCTGATGTCAGGAGTTACAGACCAGCCTGACCAACATGGTGAAACCCTGTCTCTACTAAAAATGCAAAAACTAGCCAGGCGTGGTGGCTCACCCCTGTAAATCCCAGCTACTCGGGAGGCTGAGGTGGGAGAATTGCTTGAACCCAGGAGGTGGAGGCTGCAGTGAGCCGAGCTCACACCACTGCACTCCAGCCTGGGCGACAGACCGAGACCTGGTCTCAAAAAAAAAAAAAAAAAAAAAGACAGAGAAATTGAGGGAATCATTGGGAACAGGTTCCCAAAGGAGAAGGATGTGTGCTGAGTTTGGAAGGCTATAGGTAGACTTTCTTTTGGTTGGAAGAGGAAAGGGGAGAGGATACATCAGGCAGAGGAAATACAGAGCAAAAGCTCAGAGCAGGATGGGAGTGGCAAGGTTCCAAAACAGGTGGACATAGAGGGAGGTGAATCTGGCAGCAGCAATGAACAAGACTGGAGGCAGGGATGTAGATGGGGGCACTGCGGGAGCCCGGGCAGGGGCGCGGGAAGCCTGCATTGAGGTGTGGACGATACAGATGAGATCAGGGTAAAAACCAGCGCCAAATCGAAAGGGAGAATCACAAAAGAATCAAAAATACAAAGGGAATCAAAGACCAACAGATCACAGAGAATAATAAATAAAAGATAATGACAGAGGAAGTGGTAATTTTCTATGAATCCTCGGAGGCATAGATTCTTTCTGTGCCCTAGAGACCAACAAACCTTGTCCAGCCAATGCCCAGGGCCTGCAAGCCAGGAATTCTGATGTGTACATCTTATGAACCCTGTGGTACTGTCTTCCTCATCTCAGACCCACTTCCTCTGCCTTTTACTCCCTTCCGTTAGTGAGAAAATAAAGAGAGAGAAGAGCTCTTCCCCTCCAGATTTTCAGTCCTTTCGCTGCAGCTAGCCACCCAGGTATCTGAGAAAGCTCTACTCTCTCCCATATCAAAGATAAGTATCTAATGAACTCAGGTATATAAGAAATCAGGTGCTTACTTCTCACAGGACATCTGCATTTCAAAGGAATCCTAACCCAGATTCTTAGATTCCCAGTATGTCTCCAGGGTTTCCTATTAGCTGCATGCCTGGGAGGGGATTGAGCGGGGAACACACAGTCTTTGGGCTCAGGGGGCTTACAGTTTAGTAATTGAAAAGGCCATTCTTGTCTGTTTTGTACTTATGTTTTCCAGCAAGGAGTAGGAGTCCTATATGGTTAGAGACCTATGTTCGGGGTAGTTACAAACACGGGCTCCGAGACAGAGAGACCTAGGTACCAATCCCAGCTCCACCACTTAACAGCTAAGAAACTTTGGGTGAGTTTCTTCATGTCTCTGAGCCTCAGTTTTTCTCCTCCATGAAATGAAAGCACTGTATGAGATCACCCATACAAAGGGCGCAGTACTGTGGCACATGGTATATATTCAATACCTATCTGCTAAGATGTGCCAGGAAATGCCAGAGGCCCACTACTGGTTTTTAGAAAGTACAGACTAAAACTTAAACAACAAGAAGACATCTCCCAGACCCTAGAGGCTGAGTGAGCTTCTGCCTTTAATTTTCTTTTTCCAATTACCTTTTTACAGATGAAGAAACCTAAGCACTTTCTCATTCTGTCTTGTTTTATCTTGTAGGATATGGGGGATAGAAGATGGTGTCAAAATTTATTGAGCATTTATATTAAGTCCAGCATGGAGCTAGGCATTGTCACAGAGTTTGCCTCTTTTAATCCTTGCAACAACCCCAAAAGGTACAAATGTTTACCCCAGATTAGGGTGAGAAGGTAAAGAAGGGCTAAGGTTGTGAATCTTGCCCAAGGTCATATAACTAATAACATGCACAGCTGGGATTCAAACCCAGGTCTCTCCAGTCAACATATGCTGCTTCCTAGGTCCTGACTTGAGCCAGACCTTAACCCCAGGTATCTGGGGATCCTTCCGTAAAGACACAGCAAGATAAGATTTTATCTCAGCTTTTAAATTTGGGACTCTAAAAAGCTTGGCTGATGCAACAAACCCTTTGATGATTTATTTAAATACTTATAGCTGCAGCTGCCCATCAAGCCTGATTAGGAAGATGCCTGGGCTGAGATTGGAGCTGCTTGTTGGTCTGAACCCAAATCTCCTACCAGGCACTGAAGTGTCCTCAATTCATGGTCTGGAAAATGAAATGGAAGGAGCCTTAAGATTTCATTCTTCTGACTCCCCTAAACTTTAAATACACCTTCTCTCTGAGAGAACATATTAATACTAAAAGCCACCAATATTTTTACTTCCTTTTAAAGATTATCTTAAAGAGTGAACCCATCTACCCACTATCCTCATCCAATAGAATCAGCTGACCCAGTCCTTGTTGGAGAGATTAATAAAAATAATATACTAATGATGGCTAACATTCATTGAGTACTTACTCTGAGTCAGGTACTATCCTCCAATAACCCAGTGAAATACATAATACCATTAGTCCCACTTTATAAGTGAGAAAATTGAGGTTTAGAGGATTAGGTAGGCTAACCATGATCAGGCAACTGATTAGTGCCAGAGACAGAATCCAAGCCAGGAATGCTTTACTTACGAGCCCATGCTCTTCTCTCTGCATAATGCTCTCCCCAGTGAACTTCCCACTCCTTCTCTGCCTCCCAAAATGACCAGAACATCTCTGCTTTCCCAGACAGCATGTCAGTTTCTCCTGGGACCATGGATCCTGTCTGAAGAACACTCCAGACCAGAGCACTTTCCTACTGACATGGACGTGTGTTCTCCCAGATACTTCACCCCACTCAGCTCAGGCCCTAAGGAGGTTTATAAGCTAAAAACAGTCTGGTTTTCAAGTAATATTGAATGACCCCATCAGATACAGTATGATTGGGAGTATATTGTGTGTACATTTAAAAGGTAAGACAGAAAACTGCAGATATACTCTGATTATTATTTTATTTTTTATTTTTATTTATTTATTTATTTTTTGAGACAGAGTCTTGCTCTGTTGCCCAGGCCAGAGTGCAGTGGCACAATCTCGGCTCACTACAACCCTCTCCTCCCAGGCTCAAGCGATTCTCCTGCCTCAATCTCCTGAGTAGCTGGGACTACAGGTGCATGCCACTACGCCCTGTTAATTTTTGTATTTTTAGTAGAGACGGGGTTTCACCATATTGGCCAGGCTGGTCTCAAACTCCTGACATCATGATCCACCCACCTCATTCTCCCAAATTGGTGGGATTACAGGCGTGAGTCACCGCATCTGGCCCTGATCATAATTTTATAAAAATTGTACATTGCATCGAGAAAAAAGTGGACACAAAAGGTTCCTAGTGGCTATCTGTGAATGATAAGATGATGGATGGGTTTTTACTTCCTTATTGCTTCTTTCCTTTATGTTTCCAACTTTCTACAGCAAAAATGAAGCATTTTTATGATCAGAAACAAAGTTGCTAACTAAGCTGACTGACCAAAAAGGAAAAAAGTCCATATGACTCAGAGTAAAAACAAAGAACTACTTAATCTATAAGAAACTTTGTTGGCACATGTTCTGTCTTTTTGCTACTTACATACCATGCCCTGGTTATGAATCTCAAACTTCATCTAGTTCCACTTAGTTTTCCAGCCTGCTTCTGATGTTGAGTGAAGAATGTCAGTGTTGGGAGTGAATTACCTTAACACATCCACGGTCCCTTATCAGTCCAAGCCACAGCTTTCTGCAGAGGGAAGGTTTAATTACCAAAAGCTCTGTGACGCAGTTAGCACTATTTTTGGCTGGCAGGCAGGGCAGGTTAGTTCTTTATCCATCCCTGCCTTGGCTGAGCCCCAGAGGTCACAGACAGAGAGCATTTTCACCATCCCAAGGCCAAGCCCATCTTTCTAGAAGCCATTCCAATGCTGCCTCTTGAGAAAGCAGTAAGGCCCCAGTTCCCTTCTGCAAAGGAGTGGCACAATTTCTCCTCCTGATATTCTCACCCCTGTCTAGAATTGCAAGCTGTCTCAGGGCATGCTCACTGCACTGAGAGAGCTGCCCTTGTTTTGTAATACACCTTACTGGATACATTTCAGAGGGTTAGGTTGAGATGGTTGGCAGTGAGTTCATGCATGGCTAAACTGCACCATGCGAGAAATCAATGGGAACTCAAGGGATTGGGAATTAAGGAGCTGGGGAGAAAAGAGGGGAGGTTTGAGCAGGAAGCAAGAGATCCTATCAATGTGGTGGGGAAGCATGTGCCTGGGCAGCAGAGATGGCCAATGAAAACTGTCCCAGCAGTGACAACCAGAGACCTCAATATAAAAGCAATGACAATAATAGCAATAATCATTTCAAGACCGACTTTGAATTTTGATATCTTATGTCCTTGCTTCTAAGATAGGCTTTTTTTTTAAGATTTAACATTTCTGAAATTGGGATGCATATTATAGTCAATATCAACATTTATCTACTATAGTATGTCTCTTTTTACTTGAAAAACTATTATTACATTGTGAGTGCAATTTACAACTAAGGGTGACTTAGAATGGAGTGAATGTGGCTGTTTAGAAACCTTCTGATAGAGACAGATGGGGTTGGGATGACATTCTCCTTTTCTTGTCTCTTTGCTCTTAAGGTTTCCACTCCCCTAACCGTTCATACAAATGCACAGAAGCAATGCCTCAGCTTCTCTTCTTCACCTAGCAGACTCCTGCTCATCCTTCCAATCTTGAATCAAATGTTGCTTCCTCCAGGAAGCTTCCCTGACCTAACTGAAAAAGTCTAACTCCCTGTTGATCTGTGTGATTGATGGATGTGCATCATCCCCCACTAGACTGTACCCTTCTTGAGAACAGAATTGGAACTTGTTTCCTCACTGCTAAATCACCTATTAAGAGCACAATAGGGTTTCCAATAAATTTTAGCTACATTAAAATATGTGAGTCTCTAATAGAGAGCTCGAAGACAAATGATTAATTCCCACCTCAGATGATCAAAATTTCTTTCAATGATCCTTGGCAAATATCCCTAATAGCAAGGGTGGACATGAGCTAGACCTTCAGAAAAGAAGAAAGTCTTGTCACCTTTCTACCATCAACAGACCATGTTGATATTTAATTAATTGCATGTTAAATAGTATTTAGGCATTTATTATTATTGTGCTTTTGCCCCGCTGGCTCCCAGTGACTCCTTACTCCTATTTCAATTACAGGCCAAAGCCTCCCTTGAAAGGATGTTAAGTGAATAAAGAGTATGATCATAGGACTTAGTGCAATATTAATATACATTTAAACTTTAAGGAGGGAGGATTTCAACAGACAGCACTGTTAGAATGGTACCACTGGTTAAAAATCCTATAATCCTGGCAACTACTGAGAAAAGTTTCATGCCTAGAAGAGTCCCTAGAAACCCTTGGGTCTGATCGTTATACAGATAGAAGACCAAAACACAAATCTATTACCAAATGGCAAAGGTATCCTATTAGTGGCATACTGGGACAAGAGGCCTTCTGATATAAAAAGAAAGTCTTAGCTGGGTGCAGTGGCTCCTGTCTGTAATCCCAGGGCTTTTGGAGGCTGAGGAGAGAGGATTGGTTGGGACCAGGAGTTTGAGACCAGCCTGGTCAATATAACAAGACCCCGTGTCTACAAAAAAAAAATTTTTTTTTAAATTAGCCAGGCATGATGGTGCACACCTGGAGTCCCCACTACCAGGAAGTCTGAGGTGGAGGGATTCCTTGAAGCCTAGGAGTTCCAGGCTGCAGTGGGCTACGATTACACTACTGTACCCAGCCTATGTGACAACGCAAGACTATGTTTCTTAAAACTAACTAAATAAATAAATAAAATAAATAAAAAATCCTGAAATCAAAGGATCTGTGTTGGCCCACCTCTTCCAACGTTTCTCTTTTGCCCTAACACAGTGGTTCTCAGCCAGGGGCAATTTTGTAATGTCTGGACACATTTTTGGTTTTGCTGCAAATCACCCCCCAAAACAAAGAATTATTTTGACCCAAATGCCAATAGGGCCGAGGTCGAGAAACCCTATCCCAACAGATGTCAGGGAGGCAGAAGGAGCCAGCCATGGGCAATTCCTTACACTTTTTACCCCCAACCGCCCGCATCCCTGTCACCCAAGAACACATCTGAGACTTTGCACCACATACTGAAATACGTGCCTACTCTCATGTGGACACAAATAGATACCAGAAGCCTGGCCTAGCCCCAACAGAAACATGACACATCTTCCACGAACAGCAAAATCTTCCTGAATTTCCTCCGTTCTAATTATACATTTTCCCATATTTTAAGTTTTCTGAAAATGGAATGTGTCTCATAATGAATGTAGTTTCCCTTATCCCAATGCTGTTATAAAATCAATGGAAACTCCTATAAATGATTACATTTATAATCAGAGAAACATGGTAGTTTAAACCATAACATTTACATAGAAATACAAACAAACAATAGAGCATGATGTAAAAATTTGCTTGGTTTCAAAGAATTTTTCCCTTGTGGCAGGCCCCTTTGGCCAATGTGAGTTCAAACTCTTCTACCTTGTTGGTAGAGAGACTTAAAACATTATAGAGTTTACTCTCAGGATGAAAAAAGGCCAAAGGTAAGACGGTCTGTGAATGAGACCAACCATGGTGAGCTCACTTTCAGAATCTCAGCATCAGAGAGACCTGACTTCCCTCCTCCCAACCCTTCACACCCTCCTACTGCATCTTCACTCCAATAATCTTTGATGGCTTTTTTTCTGTGTTTTTCCATAATTCGCACCATTTCAGATGATTAGCACTTGTAAGTGTACTGGAGTTCACTGGGAAAAAAAGCATCCATGGGTTGTGCCTGCTGACTGCCTTGTTTTGCTGCGTGTCTGCACAAAACAGCAGGAAGTGGTCAATGCACCAGCTGTAGAGGGAGTGAGGCCAGTTATAGATCCAGTCTTAACATCTTAGTTGGTTGGGCGTGGTGTCTCACACCTGTAATCCCAGCACTTTGGGAGACTGAGGTAGGCGGATCACTTGAGGTCAGGAGTTCAAGACCAGCCTAGTCAACATGGTGAAACCCCACCTCTACTAAAAATACAAAAATTAGCTGGGCATAGTGGCATGTGCCTGTAATCCCAGCTACTCGGGAGGCTGAGGCAGGAGAATCACTTGAACCTGGGAAGCAGAGGTTGCAGTGAGTCAAGATCATGCCACTGCACTCCAACCTAGGCAACAGAGCAAGACTCCATCTCATCTCAAAAAAAAAAAAAAAAAAATCTTAGCTGATGGTCTCCTTGAACAAGTTAGGTAACTCTGAGCCTTGGTTTTCTCATATGTAAGGCACAGCAGATGGATAACAACACTGTCCATTACAGAGCTGTTTCTCTTTAGTTACAAACAAAATAATTATGTGAAATACATGGTGCATGGCCAACTGCCCATGAAAGTTGGTGTGGCCTTCTGAGCAGGTTGTAGGATGTCTAGCAGTAATGATTCTAAAGATTCTATAACTTTGTACTTAGCTACACTTTGAGAGTTCCTGAATGAATTGAATACCATCAAATACACCTAGACTGGGGGACCCCATGATGTTTTTTTCCAAATTCATCCTCACAAACTTATAATCGACCCATACAATATCCCTAATTGATTTTGAACAGTGATGTTATGGGCAGGTGTGTGTTTGTTCTATAAAATTTCTGGGAATAAGATCCTTGACCTCATTGGTGTCCCGAGATAGTAGAAAGGCTTAGTCAAAAATCTGCTAATGTTCCTGGGCACCTCTGGCCATGCGTTATGGCAGTGCACTTGGTCAGGTGGCTAAGACTCAAGGCAACTCCCAGCACTCCCCTGGAACCCTGGGCAGAAGGCCCTTGGTTGCAATGTGGGCAAAAATGCGGTGCATTCCAAGACACCTACTTTTGATCAAGAATATAACGTATCTTTTCTCTGGGGCAGCAAAATTCAAGGATCCTTCTCAGACATTTGAAATTTCTTCTGAGGGTCTAGAATATTCCTTTGCTCTTGTCGTTTACGCTTGTCTTGAAACAGACTAAGCAGGTGAATGGCATTGACAAATGTAAAATCTCTGACAATTTAGAGAGAATATTAAGAAAAATGGGGAAAATGAGAATAAAAGTAATCCTTATTCTTTCAAATATAAAGTCTTTATGTAAATTTTATTACATAAAAATGTAAAACTAATTTTCTGATAACACATTATTTAAGTATTGTTATTTCAGGCAATAATTAACTTTTTACTCATTTAATTTGCTCATTTTTATGGCAAGCATTGTATCTCTTATTATAAAAAAGTAAGATCTTTTAGGCTGGGCATGGTGGCTCACGCCTGTAATCCCAGCACGCTGGGAGGTCGAGGCGGGCAGATCATGAGGTCAGGAGATCGAGACCATCCTATCTAACATGGTAAAACCCCGTCTCTGTTAAAACTACAAAAGAAAAAAGAAAAAAAAAATTAGCTGGACATGGTGGCACATGTCTGTAAACCCAGTTACTAGGGAGGCTGAGGCAGGAGAATTGCTTGAACCCAGCAGGCAGAGGTTGTAGTGAGTCGAGATCGTGCCACTGCACTCCAGCCTGGGCAACTGAGCGAGACTCTATATCAAAAAAAAAAAAAAAAAGTAAGAGTTTTTAAAAGCAAATTCAAATCCATTAATTTTAGATCTCTATTAAAGGCAGAAAATCTAAATCAATGACTTAAATTAGACAGGAGTGGGGCTTTGTGCAAACAAGTACATTCGGACAACATGAGAGCAGTATTAATCAGGCTTAATCTTTCTCAAAATGGGTAAAAAGCATTATAAATCTGTTTATGTTCATGAACCTCGTAACTTCATTTTGGGAATATGGTGCATGGAACAATCTCTAAGTAAAATAAATGCAATACAAAGATGGTCATTTGCAACACCACTTATAAAATAAGAAAACTGGAAACAATCAAGTCCAATTCCTGCAAAATAGTTAAACAAATGACACCACAGCAATAGTGAAGTATAACAGAGCCATTAAAAGACAGAATTCCTTACCCATATTCTCATATGGCAACCTACTGCATGTACATAAAGCTGAGCATAGTCAGGTCCTACATATTGTCCACACAATATAAGAGTGACCATTAGGACAACAACCAAGGCTAGAAAAGAATTTAAAATAAGAATTTTATAGTATATTAAAATGGTTTAAGTTCTTTTTCTTTAAAAAAAGGGGGGAAAGGCAGTGTGCCATGGCTCATGCCTGTAATCCCAGCGGTTTGGGAGGCCAAGGTGTGCAGATCACCAGGTCAAGAGATTGAGACCATCCTGGCCAACGTGGTAAAACCCCGTCTCTACCAAAAATACAAAAATTAGCTGGGTGTGGTGGCAGGTGGCTATAGCCCCAGCTACTTGGGAGGCTAAGGCAGTAGAATCGCTCAAACCCAAGAGGCAAAGGTTACAGTGAGTCGAGATTGTGTCACTGTACTCCAGCCTGGCAACAGAGCAAGACTCCGTCTAAAAAAAAAAAGGGAGGTGGGGGAAGCCTAGAAAACAGATATAAAGTATGTAACATGATCTCAAATAGTATTGATGTATGTTATGACTAGAAGGGGAATACAACATTTCAACAGTGATTATCTCTAGTTGAAGAAATTGCAGGTGATTTTTTTCCCTTATGCATACATTTATATGTTTTAATACTGCTCTGCAATGAGCATGTAGAACTTTTATGATCATAATATTAATCATGTTTTTAAAAGCTGAAACTATAAACAAATGAACTTCAAGGAATTCATTTTAAACAGGAGAAATAGGCCAAAATGTGAACAGAATAAGTAATTTATATTATTGTAGCAAGGAAAATTACCAGGTTCTTCACAACTTTGTATCATCCACACTGCCAAGCAAATACAGAAAGCCCTTGCTCAAATCCAATTTTTCCAGACTTTCTCAATGTTTTCTGGTTTCCTGAGTAACTGCTATTTGCAATTTCTGTTTCATTTGACTTCTTTATTTTATTTTTTTATCATCATCTTGGACTTCTGAAAAGAGAAACTAACATGTGAAAGAACAGAGTACTGAATATTGTCCCACTTCTGGTAAACCCTAAAGCTGCACCCAGAACCTAGTGAACACTGAATAATGTGTTGAGAGAATAAATAAGTACTAGCCATTTTTTCCAATAATGGAAAAAAAGAAAGAGTAATTTGAAGGAATAAATGAATAGCAAGCGGGAGGCGGTGGTCATTGTCACACCCACACTCTACGTTGCAAGAGGAAAGAGAAATACTTAACAAGGACCCAGAGAATAACATGGGACCAAATATCTTATGCCTTTAGTACTATTAAAAAATACCTTTTTCACCACAAAAGCCAGACCTGCTAATTTTCCCACCAAATACAGGCAGCAGTGCAACATCGCTGACACTTTTACTTTAGATCTTTGGACCCAAGACTTTGACAGCAGGGTAAACTGCTTGACAATAAAATCTTAGTTAAAGCCACTTGCACTTGCTAGTGGAAATACAGCTATCACACAACAGGGAAATGGCAGAGCTGCAATTCATGAATTTTCATTTGTGTCAATTTCTTCACAGTGATGGCTGAAGACACTAACATTAGAACCTGTAGAAAGAACATGAGGCTGAAAGTAGAGGACATATTCATTAAGGACTGCGTCACACACTTTTGGGTTCTTCAATTCTTCAAGATCCAATCATGGATGATGATTTTGATTTAAAAAAATACAGCTTTTCCAAGTCACCACTTACCTGCTATACTGCAGAGAAAAAGCTGTCAGCTGCTTTAAAGTTTTCCTAGCCAGTGTTTTGACCTCAAAGACATCAAAAACTGTCCTATCGACTGCTGTCATTTGGCTCAGGAGCCCAAGGTCACTGTTTGTTTGGATGTTGTGTAATCATGAGAGTAAAGTCATCATCAGTATCATGTAATTAATATATTATTTAAGCAGTCATTTCAAGGGGAATAATTTGATGTGGAAAGATAAAAATAACTCTGGTTCTTCCATTAATTCATTAATTCATTCAGCGTACCAAGTACTTGGCTCACTGCCAGGCACTGGCATGCAGAGACCTGTGCATTTTATTCAGCATCCTAAGATGTTTCAGAAACCAATTGTTTTTCCTGAAAATCAGATTATATTTCCCAACTCTTACTCCTTTCTCTGAGCCTCAATGTTCCTAAGGAAGATCTCATTCACAGGAGCGAAATCACATTATTTCAGCCCCTGGGAAAAGCAAGTGTCTTTGCCAAATACCAAAATAGGCTCTCATGAGTGTCTTATAATAACCTATTTTTCTGCCTTTTCATTTCTCCTCCCTCTCCAGGAATGCAAACTGATTCCTCCCTTCTCATCACCCCTCACAACCCACCCTTAACCCATCCAAGATTTCTGACCTGACCATTCTCTCGGCTCCAGGAACGTGCTGGTCACGTAGTGCTGGAGTGAGCTGTGCCTTCCATCACAGTCCTGCTATACTATAGAGGAAAAGCTGTCGGGGGCTTTAAAGTTTACCTACCCAGTGTTTTGATGACAAAGACGTCACAAACTGTCCTACTGACTTTTGTCATTTGGTTCGAGAGCCCAAGGTCACTGTTTGTTTGGACATTGTGTAATTATGGGAGTTAAAGTCATCATCAGTGTCATCTTTGGCCTTTGATGTCCCTTTTCTCTCCTTAGGCAAGAACCATGGCTGTTTCCCTCCCACGTTTTGTGAATTTCTACTTGGTTATCCCAGCAGCCTGTGGGTAAGCCCCTGAGCCTGTCAGTAGCTCTGACACCAGATGACCTTCCCTGGGTGCCTACCTTCACTTCTCTAACACCACCCTTCCAACCCCAGTGACCATTAACCATTTCATCCTTGGAAGACTTGCTCTTTGACATTTAACCCTGACCCAGTAAAGTCATTAGTCTTTAACTTCTAAATCCCAGTGTAGAAGAAACTAGCTCATTTTAAGGCCCAGAGATGCCCCAGCTTCTGATCTTTTCTTGATGCTTAAATTCTAAATGTTCCATAGCTTAATTTACTCCTGGATTTTGTGGAAGGACCTCTCTTTGTTTTCTAATTAAATGTAAAATGAAAGGTCAAGCTGTTGTTTTGAGGTAGGTTTGGACTCTAGTCTCCATGTCACCTTCCATGGCTTCCATAAACCATAACACCATTTCTCAGATGTGCCTCTCAGAACACTAATCACCTAAAATGTTCCTGCATTTATTTTGTTTATTTATTTATTATTATTTTTTTTTTGAGAAAGAGTCTCATTCTGTTGCCCACGCTGGAGTACAGTGGTGCAATCTCGGCCCACTGCAACGTCCACCTCCCGGGCTCAAGTGATTTTCCTGTCTCAGCCTCCTGAGTAGCTGGGACTACAGGTGCCCACCAGCATGCCCAACTAATTTTTGTATGTTTAGTAGAGATGGGGTTTCACCATGTTGGCCAGGGTGGTCTCAAACTCCTGACCTCAAGTGATTCACCTGCCTCAGCCTCGCAAAATGCTGGGATTATAGGCATGAGCCACCATGACTGGCCTGCTCCTGCATTTTAAGATGATGGGGGTCAAATCAGATTTGACAGAGCTGCCCACTTTTGGAGGCTAAGAATGTACATTAGTTTATTAAAGGCTCTGAGAAATTCTGCAGTGAAGAAACATTCAACTTTGCTTAACCAAGCCATACCCAAAGTTACCCAGAACATGTTAACTTTTTGTTTGTTTTATTTTTCTTATGTAAGAACTATATAGATGTATGGATTTATTGATCCAAGGAACATACTCTGAAGCAATAGTCTTCTATATAAAGATCAAGCTCCCTAACATAGCACACAGGCCCTCTGTGTCCAGGCTGGCCTCCCTCACTTCTGGAGAAGGCCTTTGTTACTCGCTCCTCCTTTCTGCTTCCCCCACCCCTTGTCAGGCATCAAAATCTCCCATATCATGGCAATCCTTTAGGTTAAGAAGAGGGGACAAATGGGTGAGAACACAGAGGACTCTGAGTCTAAGCCACAGAGTTGGATTTAGTCTTAGGGTAGAAAGGAATAAAGGCTTTTGTCAGCTGGGTACGGTGGCTCACACCTGTAATCTCAGCACTTTGGGAGGCCTAGGCAGGAGGACTCCTTGAGCCTAGGAGTTCAAGACCACCCTGGACAACATGGCAAAACCAAGTCTTCCACAAAAATACAAAAATTAACTGGGCATGGTGATGCCTGCCTGCAGTCTCAGCTACTCCAAGGGCTGAAGTAGAGGATCACTTGAGCCTGGGAGGTTGAGGCTGCAGTGAGCCACGTTCACACCACTGCACTCTAGCCTAGGTGATAGACACAGTGAGACCCTGTCTCAAAAATAAATAAATAATTAAAGACTTTTGTCATCATATTGGTAGGATTCAGGCTGCTATATAGAATTATTAATCTGACCAGAGGTTAGCACAGAGAATGGAGCTTCAGTTCTCACCTGGTATAGGCAATGGTGGAGATCGGGCCAGGGGACTCTCCAAACTACCATCTACCCCAGACAGCAGATGCCCAAGATGTTTTGCATGTGGCCTGATGCAGAGCTCTGCTCTGCACAATCCCCGCAGGTGTCTGGATCATCTAGACACACTCCTCACCATATCTGTGGCTCTTTCATAGCTGTCTCTGGCCCCTCCCTGGGCCATTTCAATCCCAATCTGAAATTTTCACAGGAGATATAACATCTGAGAGAGGACTGTTCTTCAGTTGGTTCCTAATAGCAGCCATAGATAAATATGTTAAAATAAAGAATCCTGTGGCCTGCAGTGGACATCTTTTGGAGCACCACCTGAGATTCCAATCCTACTTTCAACACTCATGAGCTGTGTGGCCTTGGACAGATTATCTAACATCTGTGAACCTCAAATACTTCATTCATACAACAGATGATAATAATAATAACTATTCACGGGACTGTAGTGAAAATTAATTCCATCAATACATGTGAAAGTGCCTGGAATGTGGCATGCAACATATGGTAACTATTATGATTATCCTTACTATGTTGTATTTGTTCATTCCACAAAAATTTCTTAGGCAAAACAACCATTGACTTTATGAGCCTTAAATGGCCTTTGAGCAACTTTGCTTTTGAGAGTCGCCATGGGAATCCATGGCAAATCCACAGCAAACTGGATTTTCAGGTCTCATGTCTTAGCAGCCTGACTACATCCAACTTCTAGTTGCAGCATCTACTCCCCCTTTTGGTGACATTTATCACTTTAGGACAATGATACTAGCTAATCTTCACTGAAGACTTACTATGTGCCAGCCACATTCTAAATGCTTCACATTTGGCTTGTTTGAATCTTTCAAAAACCTGATGAGGTAGCACTACTATTATTCCTATTGGGGACAAGAAGAAGGCACAGAGAGA